>NW_003571057.2:904777-1091841 GCF_000001405.40 Homo sapiens | reverse complement strand
AAGCTTCAATCTTATCCTTTTAACCCTCAAACCTTTTAACCCAGTCCGACACCCAGCAGCGACTTAGACAATTGCATTAGAGCCTCTGGAAAACCAAGAGTTTAATCGTCCAGCCTTTACCCCTCTCGGGGGCCCAGAGATACTACCACTTCCTAACTTTCCCAGAAACTTGCCCCCAAGCCCTTGAAGTCCCAAGCCTGCTCCTCTGGGTCTCCAGGATCCCAAGCACCAGACTTGGGCTCTTCTTCAAAACCCAAAGGTCCAATTCCCCAGCCTCTCCCCTCCAATATCCAGGGCTCTGTCCTCCTAGGGAGCCCAGGCATGGTGCTTCCCAGGCCCTGGGAAAACAAACTGGCTTCTTCCAGCCTTTTGGGGATCCAGGGATCCAACCTCTCAGACTTTACCCACTCCCAGCCCCCTTCCTCCCTTAGGCCCAGGAATCCGGGTCTCCATTCCCAACTCCCTTAGCCCCAGAAGTCTGGGTCCCGCCCCCTCCCACCCTGCTCCTCCCTCTCTCCCAGCCCCGGCCCGCCCCATCACCATCTCACCCACCTGAGAAGAGCCAGGAAGACAGAAGGAAAAACACAGAAAAAAAGGGGGCGGAGTCAGCATCGGGAGCCCCCGGGACGCACCCCTCCTTGACCCCCTTGCCCTGCCCTGGGGCGGACACTCACCCATTGACAGCGACCTGGGGGGCGCTTTGCTGTAGGAAGTAAGACAGTCGGGTCAGGCGGGGCCAGGCGGACCGGCCGCGCCCCCGGACTTCCCAGCCTCGGCCCTGCTGTGTCGCTTGGGTCACCTGCCGGCGCCTCCGCTCGTGCTGTAGCTGTTTCTCAACTGGGTCCTCCCAGGCGCGGCTCTGCGGGTCAGTGACCGGCGGCTCCCAGCCGCTGAAGAACTCGGGTCTGTATGGGGGTCCCTCCTCCGGGGACAGCTCCAGCCTGCGGCCAGGGACAGGGCCAAGAGCTCAGGGATCCTGATACAGCCCCCAACTTCGTTCCTGCATTAACTTCACTAAGTTTTCCCCTAAAGCTCGCTGTATTCCAACGATTCTAGCCCCGCCACTTTTCACCAAGTCCTGCCGGTAGCTCTAAGCCCAACTCAACAGCAATTTATATTTCTAGACCGGGCACGGTGGCTCACGCCTGTAATCCCAGCATTTTGGGAGGCCAAGATGGGAGGATCGCTTGAGGCCAGGAGTTCCAGACCAGCCTGGGCAAAATATTGAGACCCCATCCATCTCTCTCTCTGGAAAAAAATTGCCTTATCCAGCCTCTAAATCTCACCTGATTCCAAATCAGGTTTTCCGTAAGGTCGGTTTCAGGTTCTGACCCTTTCCCTGCGGAACTGCCAGCCCGCAGTGCACAGACTCTGTCCCATCACCAAAGTTATAGACCAAACCTTCCAGAAGCCCCGCCCCTTCGCGTAGCCCCGCCCCTGCCCCGTAGCCCCTAGCCCCTCTATTCCTTTAAGCCCCCCTTTTCTTTCAATCCGATTGGTCTGGTGGTCTTAAATCTTTCCTTCACGTTAATTCCTGGCCTTTCCTCCAATTGAATCTTGGCATCTGTCCTAAGCCCCGCCCCAACACAACTAAGCCACGCCTCTAACCCCTCCCTACTCTCCTAGTCCTATTTTCCAATCATCATGCCACCCACCTCCCAGCGCCTTATGCTCCTCCAATCACCATGCCCCCTGCCTCCCAGCCCCGCCCCTCACCCGGGGCGGGTCCACGAGTCCCCCAGCGAGGTCCAGAGCTCGTTTTCACGTGGAGTGACGTTGTCCCGCAGCAGCGCCACGGCATCCGATGTCAGATGCGGCCGCCGCACACTGCTCGCGAACTCCGGCCCCCCCGACGTGTTCACAATCTGTCAGGGGAGCAGGAGGGGCAGGCTGTGCCGCCACACCTTCTACAAGTCGAACCCGATTCCTCCCGCTGCAGGGGGGCCCGAGGGCCTGGGGCGGGTCTCACCATCTGCAGAGGCCCGAAAAGGAAGTGCAACAGCTCCGGAGAGGAGGGGTCGGCGATGTTGCCGCGCAGCCGGGCCTGGGGCGTGGGGAGGGAGGTGGTTGGCGTGGGTGCGGGGACGGGACAGGTTCGTCGTGCCCGCGCCCCGGCCCAGGGGCGGGCGCGTCCTCACCAGCAGGCTGAAGGCGTACTTGATCTTCTGCAGCACGTCGGTGTACTCGGCCTCCGAGGGCGGCTTGGCCCGCAGCGTCAGCAAGCCCTCTGAGGGGAGCAGACGGGCGCGGCGATGGGGACGCGGGGCCAGCACCAGGCAGGCAGAGAGAGGTGGACACCCGGTTAAGATGGCGGTGAGGTCAGCCCTGGCAAGTGGCGGGAGGGGAGAGCCTGGGGAGAGCGGGGACATTTGGAAGAGATCGGGAGGGGGTTCAGATCCCACGCCAGGGTGCCCCTTACCCCCAGCCGCCCGGCGCCGGCTCCTGCGGCCGCGTTCCCGGTGCTCCAGCACCCTGGCCGCCTCCGCCGACTTCTGCAGCCTCGATACAAAGCTCTCTACGTCGTCGAACACGTGGTTCAGGATGTCCTAGGGGACAGAGGAGGGGGACGCTCAGGGCTCCCGAGTTCCAAAACCATCCCCGTCGAAGCCCTGAACCTGAGCACCTATACACTTCCCCAGATCAGGCCACGCCCCAAACACCTGGCCACGCCCCACAACCAAGCCCCGCCCCCGACCCAGCCCCTCTTCCATAACGCAGAAGTCTGACCAGAGAACGCCCGTCCCGCAGCCGGCCCCGCCCTTCCACGCCCTAGCCCCGCCTCCAGTCGCCTGGCCCTGCCCCCAGACCCCTTCCTTAGCGGCTCACCACTTCCCGCTCCGCCTGCAGAACCGCCAGGTCAGGACCCCGGGGACCCAGGTCCGGGGAGGCCGAGTCAGCGTTGCTCGAGGTCCCCACCGGCTCAGGCCTCTGCGCCTCCTCTGCCTCGGGAATGGGCTTCGCCTGGGGTCGTCCGCGGCCCGCGCCCCGCTCTACGGTGCTGATCACTGCGCGGACTGACGGGCGGCGCTGCAGGGGCGGGGTCTCAGCGGCGGGCGAGCGGTCGCGCTGCAACTCCTCCTGCGTGGCCCTGCGGAGGGCGACGGGGACACCAAGACTGGGTCCACTGAGGGGTCCAGGGAGGGGGAAATCCAGGGCGCAGAACGAGACACACAGGCTCAAAAGGCTCAAAGGGAGTGAACAAGTTCAACGAGGTAGGGAGAAATCCGATATACGGAGGGATAGCACCTCTCTAGAGTGAAACTGAGGGCCTGGACAGGGAACAGAGAAAAGAAGCAGAGTTCTGGAGAAGGGGTCAGCTCGTCTGGGAGGTACAGACAAGACTCGACTAGGGTGTGCTTGACTCCATGCAAAACTCTTGTTCTGTTCCAGGCTGGTGTTGTAGACTGAGGCACAAGGAGGGGAAACCGGCTTCCCAGAGACCCTGCCAACTTCTTCCCTCTCACCTGAGCGCCGCCGCCCTGCGCTCCCCGCGGCCCGAGCGGTAATTGTGCAGAGCCCCCTGGATGTCCTCTCGGATCAGCTCCGCCTGCCAATCACACCGTCAGGCCACGCCTCCCCACGCCGCACCCACTTCCTACCCGGGCCTCGCCCCTGGCCGATTTTTCAGCTCAGTCCCAGCCCACGTGCGGCTACCGTTCACACCTGTGAACCCACGCACGTCCACGCCCCGAACTCACCCCTCGCCCTACACCTGTCCCTGCCCTAAGCCACGACCCCGCCCATGGAGACCCAGTCCGGGTGGTTCCTCGCCCCCACCTCGTCCTGGCTGCTCCCCCAGATCCTTCTTGGCCATGTTCTGTTCATGTCCTCATCCCACCTTCATGTTCTATCTTGACCCTGGGTCCAATCTCAAACCCCACTGCCTTCCAGAACTTCCTTCCCAGGTCCCCTGCCCTTCCTTGCTCTGATCCCGCCTTAGCCCCAGGCCCCGCCCCACCTAGAGGCCCCACCCATTTCCGCCCCGGCTCCAGGCTCCGCCCAGTTCCAGCTCCACCCCCAGAGCCAGCCCATCTGCTCACCCCGAGGCGCAGGCCCTGGAAGAAGTGCACGTCGGGCTGCGCGCGCTCGGGTTCCTGGCACACGAGCAGCAGCAACGAGCGGCTCCTGCCGGGTGGCATCACCGCGTCACAGCGCACGATGGCGCCCAGTGGGTACGACTCCAGCTCCTCCTGCCGGGTGGGATGGCGGGGTAAACTGAGGCCCCGAAATGATGGTACTACTAAATGGCGACGGGAGTGTGGGCCAGCAGGTCAGGGCAACCTCAGGCGGTTAGGGGGTTAGGGATAACAGCCCTGTTTAATAGATGAGGCTATTAAGGCTCAAGAAGGGGGCTGGGGTCCCTCGCCAGAGTTCCCAGAGGAAGGACGTGCAGGAGCCAAGATTCACACCCAGACCCCCTGAAGTCCCTGCCCCAGACACTCCTCCCACCCACGTGCCCCCCGGCACCTTGGAGGCCGGGTCGAGCAGCGTGACATGGTCGGGAGACACTCGCAGCAGCATCTCCTGTGCCCAGACTCGGCCCTGGCTATCCATGACGGCCAACTTCCTGGAGGCATCCTCCACGGTATGCACGCCATCGTCCTCACCCAGGCAGAACGTCACCAGGTGCTGGTACGGACCATGGAGAAAGCAGTGAGGCCCAAGATGATGCCAGGTGGGCTCAGAATCCCCCAGAATAATCAGACTTTCAGCCTGAGACTAACCACACCTCCTCCAGGAAGCCTTCCTTGATCACCTGTTCCACAAATCAGCTCCTCCTCCCAGTGCCCTTTGTTTCCCTTTCATCAGAGTGACTAGCACCTGAGTCTGGCTTCTCACAGACTGGAGGCTCCTTGCGGGCAGGGAAGGAGTCTGGATTATAGCTCTCTCCTTCTAAATGCCTCCTCGGGTCTCCTGCCATGCCCCCTGCCACCTCCATTAGAGCACCAGGCGCCTCTGTGGATTCCTCTGGACCTTGTCTACCCCTTCCTCATGCAGGGCTGTGTCTTGATTTGCCTCCGTGGTCCCACTGTCCAGCACAACAGCTGGCCTGGAGGAAAGGCTGGCAGATTAAGTGGACCCGAGGCCCCTGGCTTCATATCCATGACTGAGGTGAGGCAACGGAGGTCCATTTTATGGATGGGCAAACTGACTTTCCACATGCTTCCTGCTTGGGGGCCTAGCTGCTTTCAAAAGCCCTATCTCCTGAGGCCACCTTTGCCCCAGAAGATGTCCTGGGGGAACACAGACCCCAGACTCACATTGACTGGGTACTGGGATACATCAGCCATAACAACTGTGGAGTAACGCTTCCTCTGCTCTGCCAGGGGAGAAAGAGAATGAGCCTGGGAGTCCAGGCCCAGCCCCTCCTCCATCAGACCCAGGAGTCCAGGCCCCCAGCCCCTCCTCCCTCAAACCTAGGAGTCCAGCCCCCCAGCCCCTCTTCCCTCTGACCCAGGAGTCCAGGCCCCCAGCCCCTCCTCCCTCAAACCCAGGAGTCCAGGCCCCCAGCCCCTCTTCCCTCTGACCCAGGAGTCCAGCCCCCCAGCCCCTCCTCCCTCTGACCCAGGAGTCCAGACCCCCAGCCCCTCTTCCCTCTGACCCAGGAGTCCAGGCCCCCAGCCCCTCTTCCCTCTGACCCAGGAGTCCAGGCCCCCAGCCCCTCTTCCCTCTGACCCAGGAGTCCAGCCCCCCAGCCCCTCTTCCCTCTGACTCAGGAGTCCAGACCCCCAGCCCCTCTTCCCTCTGACCCAGGAGTCCAGCCCCCCAGCCCCTCTTCCCTCTGACCCAGGAGTCCAGCCCCCCAGCCCCTCTTCCCTCTGACCCAGGAGTCCAGCCCCCCAGCCCCTCTTCCCTCTGACCCAGGAGTCCAGCCCCCCAGCCCCTCTTCCCTCTGACCCAGGAGTCCAGCCCCCCAGCCCCTCTTCCCTCTGACCCAGGAGTCCAGGCCCCCAGCACCTCTTCCCTCTGACTCAGGAGTCCAGGCCCCCAGCCCCTCCTCCCTCAAACCTAGGAGTCCAGCCCCCCAGCCCCTCTTCCCTCTGACCCAGGAGTCCAGACCCCCAGCACCTCTTCCCTCTGACTCAGGAGTCCAGACCCCCAGCCCCTCCTCCTCCAAGACCCTGGATGCCAGGTCCTGTTTCTTTAGACCCAGTTCTATGGGCCTGGGGCTCCCTTGCCCCCCGCTCACCATAGATAGACTTGGCGCTTGGCTTTGGGGCAGCTTCTGGGCTGGTGAAGAAAAGAGGAATGAGAGAGACTGTGGGACTGGGGGCAGATCCTGTGGAAATGCCAAGCAGGGCAGCAAGGGCTTCATGACGAAGGTAATGGGGAGCGATGGAAGGGTTATTATTATTATTATTATTATTATTATTATTATTATTATTGAGCAGGAGAGCTCAGAGCCAGAGCTGGACTTTAAGAAGACAGGTAGGCTGGGCGCGGTGGCTCACGCCTGTAATCCCAGCACTTTGGGAGGCAGAGGTGGGCGGATCACAAAGTCAAGAGATTGAGACCATCTTGGCCAACATGGTGAAACCCTGTCTCTACTAAAAATACAAAAATTAGCTGGGTGTGGTGGTGGGCGCCTGTAGTGCCAGCTACGTGGGAGGCTGAGGCAGGAGAATCACTTGAACCTGGGAGGCGGAGGTTGCAGTGAGTCCAGATCGTGCCACTGCACTCCAGCCTGGCAGCAGAGTGAGACTCCATCTCAAAAAAAAAAAAAAAAAAAAAAAGACAGGTCAGGTCAGGCGGTGGTGCTGGGTGGTAGGGGAGTGTGATCTCTACCATGGCATAGTCCGGGATTCAAACCCTCTGTCTACTGCCTCCTTGCCATAAGACCTTCAGAAGAGGATTTAATCTCTCCTGCCTCAGTTTTTCTTTCTGTAACGTAGTAACCATCTGGTAGGGCTGTTGGGCAAATTCAGTCAGATGATGCAGGTGAAGTATTTTGAAGCCTCAATAACTGTTATTATCATTCTTAAGATGCTGCCAGGGCTTAGCACACAGAAGTTGCTCAATAAATGGGAATGGTTATAATAGCATTAGTGGTATCTGAAGTAGACAGGGAATTATCTGCTTCCCCTCCCACTCCCATGGGCCAGGTGCTTCCCAACCACATCCTTCTCTGTCTCCTCCCGTCCTCAATTTCTTCCTAAGATTACCTTTCCTAAGAATTCTTGAATCCCCACTTGCATGCACATAACAGAAGCTCAGCGATCAGGTGGCGTCAGGGGAACTGAAAAACCCTTTTTCCCAAACTCCTGTTCCTCATCCTGCTCCTGCCAGTCTGATGTCACCACAATTTGATTACCTCTGGGCCAGAGAGCTCACTACCTACCATGCAGGTATTTTGACTCATCTCTCATTGTTTTTCTCCCTGCTTACTCTGGGGGACTTGAGTCTTCATTATAAACAGCCCTGATTTTCTAGCAAAGGGTTAATATTTACTAACAACATAACAATCGCAATAGCGACTCCTATGAGTTGAGCACCTGCTGTCAGTGAGGTGGTCAGCTAAGTCCTGTAATGCACTATCCCTCCAATTTTTCAACATTGTCCCTGTGTCACAGAGGAGGGGCTGAGGCTCCAGGAGGTGATGTCCTCTGACCAGGGTTACATCAGCACTGAGTGTGAGGGCCGAACTGGAGCTCAGGCCTGTCTGCTCTGCAGTGGGGGCCCCTAACCCCAGGCTGGGCAGGGAGGAGAGAGGCTCTGGCTTCCTCCTGAGTGTCGGGGCTTGGGCCAGAGTCTGGGCCGCCGCAAACAGTCTGGGCTGCCGCAAGCGGGTGTGGGTGAGGAGGCGAGGGGAGGCGGGAGGCGTGCTGGGGCTGGGACCTGGGGTCCGGGGGCGCTTACCCTGTGGCGGTGCTCATGGTGCTGAGTGGTAGCTCCTGCCCACCTGGAGGTGCCCTGGGAGCCAGCAAACATGTGAAGGCCTGGCCAGTAGGAGCCTCTAATTCCTACCCCAGCCTCCTCCCTCAATGCAGGCATCCAGGCCCCAGCCCCTCCTCCCTCAGGCCCAGGAGTCCAGGCCCCCAGCCCCTCCTCCCTCAGACCCAGAAGTCCAGGCCCCAGTCCCTCTTCCCTAGACCCAGGAGTCCAGACCCCAGTCCCCTCCTCCCTCAGACCCAGGAGTCCAGACCCCAGTCCACTCCTCCCTCAGACCCAGGAGTCCAGGCCCCATCTCCTCCTCCCTCAGACCCAGGAGTCCAGGCCCTCAGCCCCTCCTCCCTCAGACCTAGGAGTCCAGGACCCCAGGCCCTCCTCCCTCAGACCCGGGAGTTCAGACCCCCAGCCCGTCCTCCCTGAGACCCTGGAGTCCAGACCCCAGTCCCCCCGTCCCTCAGACCCATTGGTCAAGCCCCGGCCCCCTTCTCTCCTGACCCGGATCTCCTTACCTGCCTGCTCAGGCTCTGCCCTGCTCTCCGCTGTCCTTTCCCTTCCAGGCTGCCGGCCCCTCCTCCTGCTCCCTCCCAGGGCCGTCCTGCCTCCGCCTCCGCCTCCGCATACCTGAGCATTCACCTGGCACAGCCTGGCTGGAGTGACCCCGGGGCGGGGCTGGCAGACAGATCTAGGAGGGGCTGGGGGGACTGCAGGGGAGCTGGGAAACTAACTGTCTGCCTTGTAGCAACAGAATAATAGCAACGAACAGTACATTTGATGTCACACTTGTTCACAGGTCAGAGTTGAAAGCTCTGTCTTTAAAACTCCCTTGAAATTCTAACAGCGGGAGGAAGTTCGAGGTTTGATTCCTGCTTGACAGATGAGGAAGCTGAAGGCCAGAGAGGTTGAGCAACTTGTCCATTTCAGCACTTGGTTAAGGAGGGATTTGAACCCGGGGCTGACCTTCTGTCTCCAGGGCCAGTGGCAGCCCGTCTTCTATGGACACCTCCTGCCCACGATCACTGCCTCTGCTCATGCCCTTACCTCCCCACCCATCCCGTTCCACCTTCCTTTGGAAATTTCCCTCAATGACCCCCCTATTCTGACAAAAGCTAAGATTTAGCTCGATAATGCCTGGCCCAGCTCCAAGGACATCACAAAAATGAACAGGCTTTCCAGGCATAAACACCTTTCTGAAATCACTTTTCCAGAACTCCCTCCATGCTGTAGAGGTTACTAGCAAAGCTTTCCACATCATTTCTCCCCAGAGCCCCGTGAGGGGAGTGTGTCTGGGTGGGAGGCTGTCTTCGTCTCACAGATGAGAAAATGAGGAAGAGAAGGGTTAAGAAACTTGCATGGGTACAGTGGCTCACATCTCTAATCCCAGCACTTTGGGAGGCCGAGGCAGGCAGATCACCTGAGGACAGGAGTTCGAGACCAGCCCAGCCAACATGGTGAAACCCCATCTGTACTAAAAACACAAAAATTATCCAGGTGTGGTGGCGGGTGCCTGTAATCCCAGCTACTCAGGAGGCTGAGGCAGGAAAATCACTTGAACCCGGGAGGCAGAGGTTGCGGCGAGCCGATAATTGCACCACTGCACTCCAGCCTAGGCAAGAGAGCGAGGCTCCATCTCAAAAAACAGAAAACAGGCCGGGCGCAGTGGCTCACACCTGTAATCCCAGCACTTTGGGAGGCCGAGGCGGGTGGAACACGAGGTCAGGAGATCGAGACCATCCTGGCTAACACGGTGAAACCCCGTCTCTACTAAAAATACAAACAATTAGCCGGGCGTGGTGGTGGGCACCTGTAGTCCCAGCTACTCGGGAGGCTGAGGCAGGAGAATGGCGTGAACCTGGAAGGCGGAGCTTGCAGTGAGCCGAGATTGCGCCATTGCACTCCAGCCTGGGCGACAGAGCGAGACTCTGTCTCAAAAAAGAAGAAAAAAAAAAAGCTGACATCTTGCAAGGCCTTAAGGGACGTGATTCTGATCTCATCTCTTCCTTCTGTGTGTCAGCACACTGGCCTCCTTGCTGCTCTTGGAACATCCAGACCCGGTCCTGCCTCAGGGCCTTTGCACTTGCTGTTTCCTCTGCCTGGAATGCTCTTCTACCAGATACCCTCATGCCTCACTTTCTTGCCTCCTTTGATCTTTGCCTGAATGTCACCTTCTCAGAGGACTGGCTGACCACCCTGTTTCAAATGGCGGCATCCCTTACTCGACTTCTTTTGTTTTTTTTGAGACAGAGTTTCACTCTTGTTGCCCAGGCTGGAGTGCAGTGGCGCAATCTTGGCTCACCGCAACCTCCGCCCCCCCAGGTTCAAGTGATTCTCCTGCCTCAGCCTCCTGAGTAGCTGGGACTACAGGCGCGCGCCACCACGCCCGGCTAATTTTGTACTTTTAGTAGAGACAGCATTTCACCATGTTGGCCAGGATGGTCTCGATCTCTTGACCTCGTGATCTGCCCGCCTCGGCCTCCCAAAGTGCTGGGATTATGGGTGTGAGCCACCGCCCCCGGCAACCCAACTTCTTTGTAGTCTCTTTCCTCTCTCCCTACTTCATTTTTGTGTGGAGAACTTTTCACCTTCTTACCCACTGTGTTCCTGGTTCATTTTGTCTGTGTCTCCTCCGTTAGAATGCAAGCTTCACAGGCTGGGCACGGTGGCACATGCCTGTAATCCCAGCACTTTGGGAGGCTGAGGCGGATTGATCACTTGAGGTTGGGAGTTCGAGACCAACCTGGCCAACATGGTGAAAGCACGTCTCTACTGAAAATATGAAAATTAGCCGGGGGTGGTGGTGTACACCTGTAATCCCAGCTTCTTGGGAGGCTGAGACAAGAAAATTGCTTGAACCCCGGAGGTGGAGGTTGCAGTCAGCCGAGATCACACCATGTCACCAACATGATAAAACCCCATTTCTACTAAAAAAAAAAAAATTAGCCAGAGTTGGTGGTGCACACCTGTAATCCCAGCTTCTTGGGAGACCAAGGCAAGAGAGTCACTTGAACCTGGGAGGTGGAGGTTGCAGTGAACCGAGATGATCGTGCCACTGCACTCCAGCCTGGGTGACAGAGCGAGACTCCATCTTAAAAAAAAAAAAAGCGGCCGGGTGTGGTGGCTCACGCCTGTAATCCCAGCACTTTGGGAGGCCGAGGCGTGTGGATCACGAGGTCAGGAGATTGAGACCATCCTGGCTAACATGGTGAAACCCCGTCTCTACTAAAAATACAAAACAATTAACCAGGCTTGGTGGTGGGTGCCTGTAGTCCCACCTACTCCGGAGGCTGAGGCAGGAGAATGGCGTGAACCCGGGAGGTGGAGATTGCAGTGAGCCAAGATTGCTCCACTGCACTCCAGCCTGGGTGACAGAGCAAGACTCCATCTCAAAAAAAAAAAAAAAAAAATGCAAGCTTCACAAGGGCAAAGATTTTTGTGTGATCAGTCCTCCACTTAATCTGCAGCACACAGAATTGGGTCTAGCACATAGAAAGTGTTGGAGAGATACTTGTTGAGTAAACGAGCTTTTGGCATTTGGTGCATTCATGTGCATTACTGCTTTGTTGCTTCATTCAAGATATGTTGCCTCCACGGTCTATGCTGAGTGAGCCTGGAAATCAGAGAAGGCACATTTTTGCCTTCGATTGATGGGGATGAAGGAACAGAGAGAAAGAGATATAGTGTGGTCTGATGGCAGAGAGCCTCGGGCAGGTGTGGGTCTGAATCCTGGCTTTGCCACTTGATAATTTTGGAGATACTTATTGTGTGCTTATATCTTCTCAGTACATCATAAATGTGTGTGTGTGTGTGTGTGTGTGTGTATGCATAATCCTCACCACATCCTATGGAATGGGTCCTATTATCCCCATTTTTTTTCTTAATTGAGACAAGGTCTAGTTCTGTGGCCCAGGCTAGAATGCAGTGTCATAATCACAGCTCACTGCAGTCTCGACCTACTGGGGTGATCCTCCCATCTCAGACTATATATAAATATATATACACATATATATAGTAGAGTCTCCTTATGTTGCCCAGGCTGGTCTCCAACTCCTGGGCTCATGTGATACTCCTGCCTTATCCTCCCGAAGTGCTGGGATGACAGGCATGAGCCACCCACCACACCCAGCTTATTGGGAGGATAAAGTCAGGTTATAGAGAGTTGTCAATACAGTACCTGGCAAAGAGGAAACGCAAGGCTGGTGTTAGCAATGGCGAGGACGATGGCCTTTCTTCCCATGCGTGCTGCAAGGGAGGACACGAGGGGCTCTGCCAAGGCCAGGAGAGGCTGCTGAGGGTCAGGACAGGCTGCCTGGAGGAGGAGGACAGGCTGCCTGGAGGAGGAGGGCAGGCCAGGAATCACCTTGAAGGATGAGTTTGACAGCCAGTGTCAATCCTAGAAGATAGGGGTGTTCTGGGCCCTGCAACTGCCTGAGTGAAGGATGGGGGCTGCAGGGGTGGCCAGCGGGGCTAGACTGTGAGCTCCTGGCTACCCAGCAGGTGGTCCTGGTGCGTGTAGCAGCGGGTGGGGGAGGTAGGGGTGGAAGGAGGGCCCTTACGCTTCTCTTTCTTTGGCTTCTGCAATTCTGTGTTCTCATCACATTCATGCCACAAGTATTTTCTGTGCTTGACTGTACCTGAGTTGGGGTTTGAGGGAAGGAGCAGACCCCTTGCCCCATTGACAGGAGAAAACAGAGGCTCAGAGAGGGAAGTCAGTAGCCTAAGGTTACAGTGGCCCTGGGCTGTGACACAGATGCAGATCTGACTGGGCCTGGGCTCATTTCTTCATGAACAAGGGGAGAAAACTATCTCATAGAAGCATTTGGTATGGGTCCGAGGCCTTTGGGTCTGAGGGAGGAGGGGCTGGGGTCTGGACTCTTGGGTCTGAGGGAGGAGGGGCTGGGGGCCTGGACTCCTGGGTCTGAGGGAGGAGGGGCTATCTCATTGCTTTGGGGGTGGCGCAGGCGGCCCTCCAGGCCATGGTCTGGAGCAGCAGGTGAGACCGAAACCCGAGCCTCCACCCAAGTCCCAAGTCCCAGGGCCCAGGGCCTCTTTCCTCCTTCTCTGGCCGCAAAGGAGGCCCCTCCCTCTCTGTAACCCACAGCAAATGCCTCCCAAATACCAGTCAAAGTGTCCACCCCTGCACAGTCTGACTCAGCCAGTCCAGGGCGGAGGCAGTAAAGCCCTGTCTTGGCAAGTCACCAGGGAAATCCATCACCGAAGCACCTCTCTCCCCCCTCGGCCTGGCTATTCTGTCATTGGCACCTGTTCTTGGGTGAGTGACAGGGCTCTGTGGTCAGGGTTTGCCTCTGTCCCAGTCTGGGATAGCTGTCTTGGGGGGCTGGCCTTTCTTCCCTCTCACCTGGGATGTCCCAGGAACGGAACAGAATTCTCCCCTGGGGCTTGAAGAGCTCACCCCCCATCTCCTCCGTTATCCCCACCCCCACACCACCCAACACACATCCTCTAGTCTGTAGGATTTGCTGACAAATTCCTATGACAGCCGGATGTGGTGCCTCACACCTGTTACCCAGCATTTTGGGAGGCCATCACTTGAGATCAGGAGTTCGAGACCAGCTTAGCCAACATGGTGAAACCCCATCTCTACAAAAGTAGCTGGGTGTGGTGGCGTGCGCTTGTAGTCCCAGCTACTAGGGAGACTGAGGCAGGAGAATCACTTGAACCCGGGAGGCAGAGGTTGCAGCGAGCCATTGCGCCATGCACTCCAGGCTGGGTGACTGACTGAGATTCTGACTCAAAAAAAAAAAAAAATCCTATGACAAGGAGAAAGGTCAGATTCCCTGGCAATGGGAGCTGAGGCATGTTCTTGAGAAGGAGGGAGGTTATAAATTAGATGGGGCTGGGTCTCAGAGAGATATAGCTACTTACATATTAAATAATGAGGCTGAGTGTGGCGTCTCACACCTATAGTCCCAGTACTTTGGGAAGCAGAGGCAGGAGGATCCCTTGAGCCTAGGAGTTTGAAACCAGCCTGGGCAACATAGGGAGATTCCATCCCTACCAAAAAAAAAATTAAAAATTAGCCAGGCATAGTGGCCTGCATCTGTGGTCCTAGCTGCTTGGGAGGCTGAGGTGGGAGGATTGCTTGAACCTGGGAGGTCAAGGTACAGTGAGCCACGATTGCACCACTGCACTCCAGCCTGGGTGACAGAGCAAGACCTTGTCTCAAAAAAAGTAATTAATTTATTTATTCAATACGTAGCTCCTGAGACAAAATGTGTGCCGTACTCTAGACCCTGCTGGTGTGCACAATTCATGGGGGATATGTGCGCTAATGGAAGTGTGGCACAGGGCAAGGGTGTCCCCAGAGAAAGCCCTAATCCAGCTTTATGGGTGGTTGTATGAGGCACAGAAGCCTTTCCTGGTTAAGGGATAAATGGATGGGGTTTCAAAGGATGAATAGGAGTTTGCCAAGGACAATGAAGCAAAGATTGACATTCTAAGCATTGGGAGTGTCCTATGCAAAATCCCAAAGTGATGTAGTAGCAAATACTTAAGCACCTACAGTGTGCCAAGCATGTTTCATGTGCTGGAGATACAGAGGAGGAGGAGACAGATGAAACCCCAGCCCTTGTGATATTGTCATCCTAGTAGGTGTGGTGGGGAGATAAACAAGTAGACACCTGCATGAATAAGACTTTCAGATTGTGGTAAACCCTGTGGAGGAAACGAAACAGGTGAAGGAACGGCGTGACTAGGAGCAGGCAGGTGCGGCTGCTTCAGGTAGGGTGGTCAGGGAAGGAGGCGGCATCTGAGCTTTGACCTCAATTTCGAGAATGAGCCAGGAATGCAGAGAGGATTTCAGGCAGAGGAAACCTTAGGGAGGCTGGCGGGTTAAATCTGCAGGGGTGTGGCTGGCCGGAGGAAGTGAGGTGTGAGACAGTCACGTTGATGGTGACAGCAGCAGTGACCGTAGCAGCCTAGAGGTGGCCGAATGCTTACTCTAATGGGCTGGCCCATCCCTGAGTGTCTAGAGTTCCCAGCCCGCTTAAGGAAGGAAGGAAAACACAGGCAGCTCTAAGTGTACGACGAGGGAGGTCTCATCGGCGGTGAGGAAGCCCAGGCGGGTCCCCTTCCCAGCTGAAAGGGGTTCGGGTAGGTTTTTCCTGGGCGTTCCTCTGAGAACAGCCAGCCCTGGTGAGAGTGCGGGGAGAGGCGCTTATGACACAGGGAGGGTGGGTCTGGGAACCAGCCTGGCAGGAGGAGGAGGGAGACTGCCGGTGGCCGGGAGCTGTTTGTTCTCTGGGAGGGATCGTGGCGGGGTGGTTTGTGCAGCCCTTTCCTGAAACCGGAGGAGCCTGGCTCCTTCCCAGGTCTCTGGGGGATGGGTCGGGGCGGGGGGTGGTGACGGGGATAGGACCCCAGACAGACTTGAGTTTGGATCCTGGGTTGGAGCCGGTGACTTCACTCTCAGCTCCCTGAACATCAGGGCCTGCCTTTCTTCCCTCCCTTCCCCTCCCCTCCCCTCCCCTTCCTTCCTTCCTTCCTTCCTTCCTTCCTTCCTTCCTTCCTTCCTTCCCTTCCTTTCCCTTCCCTCCCTCCCTTTATTCTTTTCTTTTTTTCTTTTCTTTTCTTTCTTTCTTGACAGAGTCTTGCTCTGTCGCCCAGGCTGGAGTGCAGTGGCGCGATCTCGGCTCACTGCAAGCTCCGCCTCCCGGGTTCACGCCATTCTCCTGCCTCAGCCTCCCGAGTAGCTGGGACTACAGGCACCCGCCACCGTGCCTGGCTAATTTTTTTGTATTTTTAATAGAGACGGGGTTTCACTGTGTTAGCCAGGATGGTCTCGATCTCCTGACCTCGTGATCTGCATGCCTCGGCCTCCCAAAGTGCTGGGATTACAGGCCTGAGCCACAGTGCCCGGCCTCCTCTTTCTTTTTTTGAGACAGAATCTCACTCTGTCACCCAGGCTGGAGTGCAGAGGTGTGGTCTCGGCTCACTGCAACTTCCGCCTCCCAGGCTCAAGCGATTCTCCTGCCTCAGCCTTCCGAGTAGCTGGGACTACAGGCGCGTGCCACCATGCCCAGCTAATTTTTTGGTACTTGTAGTAGAGACAGGGTTTCACCATGTTGGCCAGGCTGGTTTCAAACCCCTAATCTCCAGTGATCTGCCTGCCTTGGCCTCTCAAAGTGCTGGGATTAAAGGCGTGAGCTACCGTGCCAGGCCGTGGAGTAGCTAAACTTATCTTACACTGCTGAGGTCTCTCAAGATGTGTGTAGGGAGAGAGAGTTGGGGGGAGAGAGAGAGACAAAGGAAAAGAGGAAGAGAGAGACAGGGAGAAAGAGAGGAAGAAAGAGAAAGAGAGAAACAGGAAGAGTGAGAGGAGAAAGAGAGGAAGGGGGAGAGAAAGAGAGATGGGGGAGAAAGAGAGAGAGAGAAGGAGACACAGGAGGGGGAGAGAAAGAGGGAGAGAGCAATGAGAGAGATATGAGACAGAGAAGAGAGAGAGAGGAGACACGGAGGAGGGGGACAGAAAGAGGGAGACAGAGAGATGAGAGAGAGAAAAGACACAGATGAGGGGGAGAGAAAGAGGGAGAGAGAGATGAGAGAGAGATTGATAGCACCCAGCTAATCAATCAGTGGCTTTAGTGCCATGAGCTGGAAGGGAGGAATGGATACTGGGGAACAGTTGGTTGACTTTCCCTGGTGGGACAGCCCCTCTTTCTAGAACTACCTTTCCTATGTCCCCTGTGCTTCTCTCCAGTCCATACTCTACATCTCAGCCAGAAAAGAAGAAATTCTAAAACATGTATCTGCCCGTGACATGACCCTCCTTGGCTCAACACTCTTCAGCGGTACCCAGCGCCCTCTGAGTCAACGCCAAGCTTCCTACCATGGCATTGGAGCCGCGCTCTGGGTCCTTTTACTGATGGCTCCCGCCTCAGCCCTTCCACCCCCTCCCATACCCTGCATGCCAGCCCAGGCAGCCCTCCCTCCTCCCACAATATCTCTCATATGCATTCCTGTCCCATGCCTTCTGCTTAAGCTGTTCCCACAGCCCGGAGTCTCCTCCCTGGCTGAGGGAAATCTTGCCGGCTCACATGGCCGTGATCCCCATCATTTCCTGCAGAAAGCTTGCCCAGCTCTCCGACACGGGGACCTTCTGCCCCTCCTGAGCCCTGAGTCCCCTCCATCTTAACTGGGAGGTCACCTGTTTGCGTGGTGTCTGCTCAGCTTGCAGGCAAGGCCACCAACACCCTCCTTTCCTGTCTTTCCTTCCTACCATCCTCTCCTGTCCACCCTCTGCCTCTCCCTCCCTTCTTCTCTTCTTTCCTTCTAGTTACTGAGCCATGCATGTGTTGCATGCAGCAAGGATGAATAAAATAAAATAAACCTACAGCAATCATTCCAGTTACTATGGCCATATAACAAATTATTCTAAAACTCAGTGGCTTCAGACAAGGATCATATCTATTTTACTCAAAAACCTACCATCTGCACAGGCCTTGGTGGAGGCAGCTTATCTGTGTGCCCTTTGGTGATGGCTGGGGCTGTCAAGAAGCTGGGGCAGTGCTTGGGCTGCAAAGACTCAAATGGCTGGAGTCTGGGACCACTGGAGCTCCTTGCCCCCCTTTGCTTATCTCTACACAGCCACAGGGTCGCTAAACTTACCTTACACTGCTGAGGCCTCTTAAGATGTGTGTAGGGAAAGAGAGTTGGGGGGAGAGGGAGAGAGAGAACAGAGAGAGAGAGACACACACAAGAAGAGAGAGAGGAAGAAAGAAGGAGAGAGAGGAAGAGGAAGGGAGAGGAAGAGAGAGAGAAAGAGAAAGAGGGAGAGAGAGAGGAGAGAAAGAGACAAGAAGAGAGGAAGAAAAAAGAGGAAGAGAGGGATAGAGGAAGACAGAAGGAGGGAGAGGGAGAGAGGAAGAGAGAGGAAAGAGAAAGGAAGGGAAAGAGAGATGTGAGAGAGAGGGAGAGAGAGAGAGAAAAGAGGACAGAGGAAGAGAGAGAGGAAGAGAGAGGGAGAGAGAGGGAGAGAAGACAGAGAGGGAGAGAGGAAGAGAAAAGGAGACAGAGAGAGGAGAGATAGAGAAGAACGAGAAAGGAGAGACAGAATGTGAATGAGAATTGGGTGCCATAAACCCTCTGATGGGGAAAGCAAAGGGCATTGTGGGAGAATCCTCTCAGCACCTGGGACAGCACCCAGTGCTGATCAGGAACATGTTAACAACCAGGAAAATGGTAAAGGCGTGGACAGCCCACCTGGAGTCCAAACAGATGTTCTAACTCCCTTGGGTGTGTCTGGGAATCAGGTAGGAGATCCTCAGAGGAGGAATATGCATGCATTGTTCTCTTTATAATAACCATATTAACAGCCAGCAATGTTCTGGCACTTACTATGGATTAAGTCCTTGTTATGAATGACTTCATGCCATCCTTCCAAATTCAATGACAGGTAGCTGGGCGCAGTGGCTCACGCTTTGTAATCCCAGCACTTTGGGAGGCTGAGGCAGGTGGATCACCTGAAGCCTGGAGTTCAAAACCAGCCTGGCCAACATGGTGAAACCCCGTCTCTACTAAAAATACAAAAATCAGCCAGGTGTGGCGGCGAGCGCCTGTAATCCCAGCTACTCATGAGGCTGAGGCAGGAGAATCGCTTGAACCCAGGAGGCAGAGGTTGCAGTGAGCTGAGATTGCATCACTGCGCTCCAGCCTGGGCATCGGAGAGAGACTCTCAAACAGGAGCTGGCGAACTGTGGCGCACTGCTTATTTTTATAAATAAAGTTTTATGGGAACACAGCTGTGCTCACTTGTTTTCACATCATCTGTGGCTGCTTCCCAGCTCCTCTGGCAGAGGAGGTGCAACAGCCACTGTGTGGATCACAAAGCTGAAATTATTTACTATCTGGCTGTTTGTAGAAAAAGTTTGCTGATCTCTGTCCTGGAAGTCAATGATATTAGGATTTCAGTTTACAGAAAAGGAGAAAAAGACAGGGAAAAACAGTGTTGTTTTTTTTTCAAGGTTGAGAAAATGAACATCTGAACCAATTGCCCATGTTATTAAATGTAAACATTTATTATTATTATTTTTGAGATGGGGTCTTGCTCTGTCACCCAGCCTGGGGTGCAGTGGCACAATCACAGCTCATCATAGCCTTGACCTCCTGGGCTCAAGCAGACCTCCCACCTCAGCCTCCCAAGTAGCTGAGGGTGCAGATGCGTGCCACCAAACCTGCTAATTTTTGTATTTTTTGTAGAGATAAGGTTTTGCCGTGTTGTCCAGGCCGCTCTCAAACTCCTGGGCTCATACTATTCTCCACTTTGGCCTCCCAAAGTGCTGGGATTACAGGCATGAGCCACCATGCCCAGTCTAAAATTTTTCTTTATTTTTAGTTTGGTAAACTATGCATAAAGTAAAATGTACCATCTTAACCATTTTAAGTGTACAATTCAGTGATGTTAAGTATATTCACATTGTTGTGCAACCATCACCACCGTCCACCTTCAGGTCTTTTTTTTATTTTGCAAAACAAACTCTGTATCTATTAAAAAACAGCTTCCCGGCCGGGTGCGGTGGCTCATGCCTGTAATCCCAGCACTTTGGGTGGCCGAGGCAGGTGGATCACCTGAGGTCAGGAGTTTGAGACCAACCTGGCCAACATGGTGAAACCCCGTCTCTACTAAAAATACAAAAATTAGCCGGGTGTGGTGACACGTGCCTGTAGCCCCAGCTACTCGGGAGGCTGAGGCAGGAGAATCGCTTGAACCTAGGAGGCAGAGGTTGCAGTGAGCTGAGATCGCCCACTGCTCTCCAGCCTGGGTGACACAGTGAGACTGTCTCTCAAAAAACAAAACAAAACAAACAAACAAACAAAAACAAATCCTGTGACTTCCCAATCTCATCTCCAGCCCCCTGCAGCCACCACTCTGTTTTCTGTCTCTATGAATTTGACTCCTCCAAGTGCCTCTTATACAGCATTTGGCATTGTGTAACTGGTTTAATACGTTTGAGATGGTGAGAGCTTAAGGTCTACAGGCCTAAGGTTTTTTTTTTTTTGACAGAATTTCACTCTGTCGCCAGGCTGGAATGCAGTAGGGCAATCTCGGCTCACTGCAACCTCCACCTCCCGAGTTCAAGTGATGCTCCTGCTTCGGCCTCCTGAGTAGCTGGGACTACAGGTGAGTGCCACCACATCCAGCTAATTTTTGTATTTTTAGTAGAGACAGGGTTTCACCATGTTGGCCAGGCTGGTATCAATCTCCTGACCTCGTGATCCATCTGTCTCGGCCTCCCAAAGTGCTGGGATTACAGGCGTGAGCCACCGTGCCCGGCCATTGACTAAGGTCTTAAAATAGCTCTTCCTGCCTGTATAATCTCCATTATGGCAGGGCTCATATAAGAAGATGACAGTTCATCTGATGAGGAAGAAAACTTACTCCTAGTTAGATTGGGTTGAATTCTTCCCTGTTTCCAGCGGTGTCTGCTCCTGGCACCTCAGGCACAGTCAGGGGTAGGAGGTGGTGATCAGATACACTCGCTGTGAGCAGTGCAAGGGGAAGCAGGTGCCCAGAGGTGCATCCCGGTTTGGTGGGGGTGACAAACATGGACAGGTAAGTGCAGGAGTGTGTGCAATACTCAATCTAAGAAAGGTAGTTCAGGCAGAGTTCAGGGAAGATATCTCTGTGCAGGGCCAGACATGGGGATGAGATTCTGATAATTTGGGAATGAATCAGGCCCCCAGCCCCTCCTCCCTCAGACTCAGCAGTCCAGGCACCCGGCCCTCCTCCCTCGGACCCAGAAGTCCATGCTCCCAGCCCCTCCTCCCTTGGACCCAGGAGTCCAGGCCCCCAGCCCCTCCTCCCTCAGACCCAGGAGTCCAGGCCCCCAGCCGCCTTCTCCTGCAGGACCCCAGGAGCTTGGGTACCCACAGGCTACTAGATCCTTGTTTCTGTGCATGGAAATTCTCAAATTATCTCCAAAAGTCTATGAAGAAGGTAAACACACATTTCCAGATGAGGGAATAGGCTGATATAGTTGAAAGACACACAGAGGGTCACAGTCTGGAATTGACAGTGGTGGGATTCGAACCTATTTCACTCCAGAACTGCGTAGCGCCTTATACGCTGCGGCAAGTGTGACGTCATTCGAACAAACCATAGGCCCCGCCCCCGGACTAGCCACGCCCACAGGCTCCTGAAACCACCAATCCCAGCTGTGACAGCGCTCAGGACCGATGCTCATAGGTCCCGTCCCTAGGATCCCCGCCCCCTCCGCCCGCGCCCCGCCCCTCGCAGCCCAGTTCCGGACGCGGGCCCAGCCGCGCCTGCGCCTCCGCTCGCCTGTGGCTGCGTCGCGCGCTCTTCCTCGGAGCTACCCAGGCGGCTGGTGTGCAGCAAGCTCCGCGCCGACCCCTGACGCCTGACGCCTGTCCCCGGCCCGGCATGAGCCGCTACCTGCTGCCGCTGTCGGCGCTGGGCACGGTAGCAGGCGCCGCCGTGCTGCTCAAGTGAGTACATTCTAGCCCCGCGTGCGCGGTCAAGGCGGGCCCCCAGCGCAGGGGCCGGGAAGGCGGCGGAGACCCCCGCCCCTCGCACCCGGGTCCAGGCCCCGTAGCTCCCGACCCGCAGTGCCCGCCCGGAGTGGGGCAAACCTGCGCTCTGGCCGGCCAGGTCACCGGCCCAAGGTCACTCGGAGGGAAGGGCGAGCCTGGGCCCTTGTAAATGTTGCTTTCCTTCCAGACTTTTAAACTCTTTATTTTGTTGTTTTGTATTATTTATTTGTTCGTTTATTTTTAAAGGCAGAATCTGGCTCTGTCGCCCAGGCTGGAGTGCAGTGGCGCGATCTTGGCTCACTGCAGCCTTGACCTCCTGGGCTCAGGTGATCCTCCCACCTTGGCGTCCCCAGGAGCTGAGATCACACGTGCGCCACCACGCCCGGCTAATTTTTGTATTTTTCGCAGAGACGGGGTTTTGCCATGTTGGCCAGGCTGGTCTCAAACACCTGCCCTCAGGTGATCCGCCTGCCTCGGCCTCCAAAGTGCTGGGATTACAGACGTGAGCCACCTCGCCCAGCCTACTTAATTTAAACTTTCTTAAAAATTAGCCTCTGTGGCTGGTGGCCACTGTATTGCATGGTGCCCTTCTCTCCTGTGGGTGCAGTGCTGTTTACCTGCTCAGCCTCCTGTTGCTGGACACTATCTTGTTGCCAGCGTTAGCCTCTGTGGGACATGGGTGTGGTGGGCAGAGTCGTGACTCCGTAGAGGGGTCCACGTCCTAATCCTCGGAAGGTGTGACGACATTACCTCACGTGTCAGAGGTTCTCGCTGATGTGTTAAGTGAAGCATCTTTTTTTTTTTTGAGACAGAGTTTCGCTGTTGTTGCCCAGGCTGGAGTGCAATGGCACGACCTCGGCTCACCACAACCTCCACCTCCCGGGTTCAAGCGATTGTCCGGCCTCAGCCTCCTGAGTAGCTGGGATTACAGGCATGTGCCACCACGCCTGTCTAATTTTGTATTTTTAGTAGAGACGAGGTTTCTCCATGTTGGTCAGGCTGGTCTTGAGCTCCCGACCAAAGGGGATCTGGCCACCTTGGCCTCCCAAAGTGCTGGGGTTACAGGCGTGAGCCACCGTGCCCGGCCAAGTGAAGGATCTTATGATTATCATGTAGTCTTTTTTTTTTTTTGGAGACAGGGTCTCTCTGTCACCCAGGCTGGAGTGCAGTCATGCTGTCACAGCTCACTGCAGCCTCACCCTCCCTGGGCTCAGGTGGTCCTCCCACTTCAGCCTCCCGAGTAGCTGACTCTACAGGCGTGCACCACCAAGCCCTGCTAATTTTTGTATTTTTAGTAGAGATGGGGTGTCAGCATGTTGGCCATGGCTGGTCTCGAACTCCTGACCTCAAGTGATCCTCCTGTCTTGGCCTCCCAAAGTGCTGGGATTACAGGTGTGAGGCACTGTGCCGGTCCTGCCTTGTAGTCTTATAGGGTCCTTATAAGAGGGAGCAGGAGGCTCAGTCAGAGGGGAGATGGAAGATAGAAGGAGAGGTTGTTGGGTGTGGTGGCTCACGCCTGTAATCGCAGCACTTTGGGAGGCCAAGGCAGGCGGATCACAAGGTCAGGAGTTCGAGACCAGCCTGACCAACGTGGTAAAACTCTGTCTCTACTAAAAATACAAAAGAAATTAGCCAGGTGTGGTGGCATGTGCCTGTAATCCCAGCCACTCAGGAGGCTAAGGCAGGAGAATCGCTTGAACCTGTGAGGCGAAGGTTACAGTGAGCTGAGATTGAGCCACTGCACTCCAGCCTGGGCGACAGAGCGAGACTCTGTCTCAAAAATAAATAAGTAAATAAATAAATAAATAAAGGAGAGGTTCCAGTGAGGATGCAGGTTGAAGATGGAGGCGGGGCCAAGAGTGGAGGAATGTGGCGGTCTGTAGGAGCTGGAAGTGGATTCTTCCCTAGAGCCTCCAGAAGGAACCTGACTCTACCAATACCTTGATTTATTCCAGTGAGACATGTTTTGGACTCTTGACCTGCCGAACTGGAGGAGGATGCACTTATGTGGTTTTAAGCCACTAAGTCTGTGGTAATGCGTACAGCAGCCTTGGGAATCTCGTGCAGCGGGCATTTTAAATTTAAATTTAAATTTTTTTGAGACAGAGTCTCGCTCTGTTGCCCAGGCTGGCACCATTTCGACTCACTGCAACCTCCGCCTTCCAGGTTCAAGCAATTCTCGTGCCTCAGCCCCCTGAGTAGCTGAGATTACAGGTGTGCACCACCACGCCTGTGAAGGGGTGGCCTGCCCCTCCACACCTGTGGGTATTTCTAGTTGGGTGGGACGAGAGACTGAGAAAAGAAATAAGACACAAAGTATAGAGAAACAACAGTGGGCCCAGGGGACCGGCGCTCAGCATACCAAGGACCTGCACCGGCACCGGCCTCTGAGTTCCCTCAGTTTTTACTGATTATTATCTTCATTATTTCAGCAAAAAGGAATGTAGTAGGAGAGCAGGGTGATAATGAGGTCAGCAAAAACCATGTGAGCAAAAGAATCTATGACATAATTAAGTTCAAGGGAAGGTACTATGCCTGGACGTGCACGTAGGCCAGATTGATGTTTCTCTCCACCCAAACATCTCAGCGGAGTAAAGAATAACAAGGCAGCATTGCTGTAAACATGTCTCGCCTCCCGCCATAGGGCGGCTTTTCTCCTGTCTCAGAATTGAACAAATGTACAATCAGGTTTTATACCGAGACATTCAGTTCCCAGGGTCAGGCAGGAGACAGTGGCCTTCCTCTCTCTCAACTGCAAGAGGCTTTCCTCTTTTACCAATCCACCTCAGCACAGACCCTTTACGGGTGTTGGGCTGGGGGACGGTCAGGTCTTTCTCATCCCACGAGGCCATATTTCAGACTATCCCACGGGGAGAAACCTTGGACAATACTCTGTGTTCAAGGGCAGAGGTCCCTGCAGCTTTCTGCAGTGCATCGTGCCCCTGGTTTATTGAGACTAGAGACTGGCGATGACTTTTACCAAGTATACTGCTTGGAAACATTGTGTTAACAAGGCACTTCCTGCACAGCCCTAGATCCCTTAAACCTTGATTTCATACAACACAGGTTTTTGTGAGCTCCAGATTGGGTCAAAGTGGCTGGGTCAAAGCTACAAATTAACAACATCTCAGCAAAGCAATTGTTCAAAGTACAGGTCTTTTTCAAAATGGAGTCTCTTATGTCTTTCCTTTCTATATAGACACAGTAACAGTCTAATCTCTCTTTTCCCTACACATCTGGCTAATTTTTGTATTTTAAGTAGAGACGGGGTCTCGCCATGTTTGCCAGGCTGGACTCGAACTCCTGACCTCAAGTGATCCGCCCCCGCCCCCCCCCACCCCCAAAACTTTGGCCTCCCAAAGTGCTGGGATTACAGGTGCAAGCCCCCTCACCTGGCCGGGAATCTCATGCAGTGAGCATTTATAAAATAATGACTGTCACTTGCTGAAGGCGTTCCACACGCCAGACACTGGGTGGAGCCACTTATGGAGAACATGACAGAGGTCCCTTGGTGTGATGTGATGATGTCTGTGTTTCAGTTGGGGTATGTGAGTGAGCTCAGACAAGGTTGCCTGAGATCATTCAGTCAGGGGCACGTGGGGTGAGAGTGGGCCCACAGGACTGACCGTGCCGCTTCTCACCCTCAGGGACTATGTCACCGGTGGGGCTTGCCCCAGCAAGGCCACCATCCCTGGGAAGACGGTCATCGTGACGGGTGCCAACACAGGCATCGGGAAGCAGACCGCCTTGGAACTGGCCAGGAGAGGTAAAATCTCCCCTGCTTTGGCTCTCAGAGAGATATCTGTACATCCATGCTCACTGCAGCATTATTCACAGTCCGGAGGTGGAAGGAACCCAGGCACCCATCCACAGATGAACAGGGAAACAGAATGTGGCTTCTATAGACAGGGGCATATGATTCAGCCTTAAAAAGGAAGGGCATTCTGGCCGGGCGCGGTGGTGCACGCCTGTAATCAGTACTTTGGGAGGCCAAAGCTGGCGGATCACGAGGTCAGGAGTTCGAGACCAGCCTAACCAACATGGTGAAACCCCCTCTCTACTAAAAATACAAAAATTAGCCAGGAGTTGTGGTGGGCACCTGTAGTCCCAGCTGCTTGGGAGGCTGAAGCAGGAGAATCGCTTGAACCTGAGAGGCAGGGGTTGCAGTGAGCAGAGATGGCGCCACGGCACTCCAGCCTGGGTGACAGAGTGAGACTCAAAAACAAAACAAAACAAAGCAAAACAAAAAAAAGGGCATTGAAACAGATGAACCTTGAGGACATTCCATGAAGTGAAATAAGCCAGTCGACAGAAGAGCAAATACGGTATGATTCCACTTACAGGAGCTACCTACAGTTAAATTCATAGAGAAGTTGGAATGGTGCTTGCCAGGGGTCAGGAGGGGAGGGGAGAATGGGGAGTTACTGTTTAATGGAAACGGAAGTTTAGTTTGGCAAGATGAAACAATTTGAGAGATGGATGGTTGTAATGGTTGCACAACATTAGGAATTATTATTATTGTTTTTTTTTTTTTGAGATGGAGTTTTGCTCTTGTCGCCCAGGCTGGAGTGCAGTGGCATGATCTTGGCTCACTGCAACCTTCGCCTCCCGGGTTCAAGCAATTCTCCTGCCTCAGCCACCCGAGTAGCTGGGATTACAGGCATGCAACACCACACCCAGCTAAGTTTGTAATGTGTTGGCCAGGCTGGTCTTGAACTCCTGACCTCAGGTGATCCACCTGCCTTGGTCTCCCAAAGTGCTGGGATTACAGGTGTGAGCCACCATGCCCGGCCCAGCCATAAATGTTTTTAATACCAATGAACTGGACACTTAAAAATGGCTAAGAGGGCGGGTCTCGGTGGCTCACATCTATAATTCCAGCACTTTTGGAGGCTGAGGCAGGAGGATCACTTGAGGCCAGGGGTTCCAGACCAGCCTGGACACCATAGCAACACCCCCATCTCTACCAGAGTTAGCCAGGCATGCTGGCACAGGTGGTACCTATAGTCCCAGGTCACTTGAGCCTAGGAGTTCAAGGCTGAATGAGCTGTGATGGCGCCAGCACTCCAGCCGCGGCAGCAGAGTGAGACTGACTCAAAAAAAAAAAAATAATAATAAACAAAAAGAAAAGGGGGTTAAGATGATAAATTTTAAGTGATTTGTATTTTACCACAACAAAAAAAATTGGAGGCTGGGCATTGTGGCTTATTTGTAATCCCAGTACTTTGGGAGGCCGCGGGGTGGATCACCTGAGGTCAGAAGTTCAAGACTAGCTTGGCTAACATGGTGAAACCGCTGTCTCTACTAAAAATAAAAAAATAAAAAATTAGCTAGTTGTGGTAGGTGCCTGTAATCCCAGCTACTCGGGAGGCTGAGGCAGGAGAATTGCTTGAACCCAGGAGGTGGAGGTTGCAGTGAGCCGAGATTGCGCCACCGCACTCCAGCCTGGGTGACAGAGTGAGACTCCATCTAAAAAAAAAAAAAAAAGGAGAGGATGGGGAATCCTCTTGCCTTGGCCTCCCAAAGTGCTGGAATTACAGGTGTGAGCCACCGTGCCCGACCAATTCAGTGATGTTTAGTATAGTCACAGAATGATGCAACCATCTTTAAAATCAATCTTAGAACATCTGTTACCCTAGAAAGAAACCTGCTCACTGTAACTATCAAGCTGTAATTCCCTCTCCCCACCCCCTGCCCTAGAAAACCAAGAATCTATTTTCTTTCTCTATGGATTTGCCTATTCTGGGCGTTTCATAGGTGTGAAATCATATACATAGAATTCATGTAAATGGGATTGTACGCTGTGTGGTCTTTCGTGTCTGGTTTCTTTCCCCGAGCACAGTGTTTCTGACGGTCATCCTTGCTGTAGCATGAGCCAGTGCTTCACTCCTTTTCACGGCCGTCTAATATTCCATCTCTATGGATGGACCACATTTTGTTGTCCCTTCATCCACAGATGGGCATTTGGTTGTTTCTACCTTTTGGCTTTTGTGAAGAATGCCGCAGTGAACATTGGTGGATGTGTTTTTGTGTAGACGTATGTTTTCATGTCTCTGGGGTCAGTACCCAGGAGTGGATTATTAATTTAAATCTTTTTCCATCCTGGGTTTTCAGGAGGCAACATCATCCTGGCCTGCCGAGACATGGAGAAGTGTGAGGCGGCAGCAAAGGACATCCGCGGGGAGACCCTCAATCACCATGTCAACGCCCGGCACCTGGACTTGGCTTCCCTCAAGTCTATCCGAGAGTTTGCAGCAAAGATCATTGAAGGTAGGAGAACGCTGGCCATGTGGGATGAGGACTGGGATAGGCGGCTCCCAGGGCCAGGCTCTGAGAAGTGAATGAAGCAAGCAAACTTTAGAGCAGAGTTTTGGCAAACTATGAGTTAGGGGCCAAGTCCAGTTGCTGCCTTTTTTTGTACAGCCTGCAAGCAACGACTTTATTTATTTATTACTACTGTTATTTTGAGAGGGAGTCTCACTCTGTCGGCCAGGCTGAGTGCAATGGCGCGATCTCGGCTCACTGTAACCTCTGCCTCCTGGGTTCAAGCGCGGACCTCAGCCTCCTGAGTAGCTGGGATTAAGATGCCTGCTACCATACCCTGCTAATTTTTGTATTTTTAGTAGAGACGGGGTTTCACCACGTTGGCCAGGCTGGTCTGGAACTCCTGACCTCAGGTGATTCTCCTGCCTCAGCCTCCCAGAGTGCTGGGATTACAGGCGTGGGCCACTGCGCCCGGCTGACTTTGTTTTGTTTGTTTGTTTTGAGACAGATGGGGTCTCGCTCTGTTGCCCAGGCTGGAGTGCAGTGGTGTGATCTTGCCTCACTGCAACCTCCGTCTCCCGATTTCAAATGATTCTCCTGCTTCAGCCTCCTGAGTAGCTGGGATTACAGGCACCCGCCACCGTGCCTGGCTAATTTTTTGTGTTTTAGGTAGAGACAGGGTTTCACCATGTTGGTCAGGCTGGTCTCGAACTCCTGACCTCAGGTGATCTGCTTCCCTTGGCCTCCCAAAGTGCTGGGATTACAGGTGTGAGCCACCGTGCCCTACCTGAATAATTAGTTTGTTTGAGACAGGATCCATCTCTGTCACCCAGGCTAGAGTGCAGTGGTGCAGTCATGGCTCACTGCAGTCTCAACCTGCTGGGCTCAAGGGATCCTCCCACTTCAGCCTCCCAAGTAGCTGGGAGTACAGGCATACGCCACCACACACAGCTAATTATTGTTTTATTGTTTTGTTTTGTTTTTAGAGCTGGGGTTTCACCATGTTGCTCAGGCTGGTCTCCAACTCCTGGGCTCAAGTGATCCACCCAGGTCAGCTTCCCACAGTGCTGGGATTACAGGCGTGAGCCACCGCACCTGACCTTATTAAGCATTTATTGATCAAGTGCCTTCCCCACCATGGTTAAAGAAATATGTGTTTGTTATGGGACATTTATAAAATACTGCAATGTAAAGAAGACAGAACTGGCTGGGCACAGTGGCTCACGCCTGTTAATCCCAGCACTTTGGGAGGCTGAGGCAGGTGGATCCCTTGAGGTCAGGAGTTCGAGACCAGCCTGGCCAACATGGTGAAACCCTGTCTCTACTAAAAATACAAAAATTAGCCAGGCGTGGTGGTGCACACCTGTAATCTCAGCTACTCAGGGTGCTGAGGCAGGAGAATTGCTTGAACCCAGGAGGCGGAGGTTGCAGTGAGCTGAGATTGTGCCAGTGCACTCCAGCCTGGGTGACAGAGTGAGACTCTGTCTCAATAAAAAAGAAGACAGAACTAAACAACTTTGATCTGCACCAGCCCCAGGAGAATCACTTTTATGGATCTTTCTAGTCTTGTTTATAATAGGTTTGTGTGTGTATTTATATATTTTTATGTAAAACTGGGACCATCCTCTAGCTTTTCTATTCTTGTTCATCTTTAAATAGACTCAAGAATACACTAAAATTATTTATTGTTTAGTTGACATGTATACTTGTATATATTATGTACAGCATGATGTACATTGTATACATTGTAGAATGGCTAAATCAAGCTAATTAACATATGCATTACCTCAAATACTTACCTGTTTTTGTGGTGACCACATTTAAAATCTCTTCTCTTAGGATTGCTTGAGCTCAGGAGTTAGAGACCAGCCTAGGAAGCATAGTGAGACCTTGTGTGTACCAAAGATTAAAAAAAAAAAAAAATTAGCCGGGCATCCTGGCATGTGCCTACAGTCCCAGCTACTCAGGAGGCTGAGGCAAGAGGATCACTTGAGCCCGAGAGTTCAAGGCTGCAGTGAGCCGTATTTGTGCCACTGCACTCTAACCTGGATGACAGAGCAAGACCTTTTTTTTGAGATGGAGTCTTGCTCTGTCACCCAGGCTGGAGTGCAATGATGCGATCTTGGCTCACTGCAGCCTCCGCCTCCTGGGTTCAAGCGATTCTCCTGCCTCAGCCTCCCAAGACTATAGGCGGGTGCCACCATGCCCGGCTAATTTTTGTATTTTTAGTAGAGACGGGGTTTCACTATGTTGGCCAGGCTGGTCTCGAATTCCTGACCTTGTGATCCGCCTGCCTCAGCCTCCCAAAGTGCTGGGATTACAGGCATGAGCCACCATGCCCAGCTGCTTTGTTTCTTTTCTAGTCTGGCACTGAAAGGGCCAAAGCTTTCTTCTTCAGAGTCAATGTGCCCCGCTCAGTAAACGGGTACTCAGGAAATGAACAAGGAATGGGGGAGTTGTGGGACCTCATTTATTTAGCAGACGTGATCTCAGACCTGACCAGGTGCTGGAGGTGTGAGATGAACCAGAGCTGTCCTTGTGCCACTCACAGCCCTAGGGAGGCAGGTGCAGGTGCACATTCGTTGGTTCATTCATTCATTCATACTGAGCCCCTGCTGTGCCCTTGGGGATCAAGAAAGAGCCGGCACTGTTGTCGGGTAGGTGAGAGGCACTACGGTGAGATCACAAAGAACAGTGAGAGGGCAATGCCTCAGAGTCTCAGAGGTGGATGAACATTTATTAAGCACCTGCTGTGTACCAGGTACAGCACTGTCACCTTCATGCACACTGTCCCAGGCAATCCCACCCAGGGCGCCTCTGATCCTGTCTCTGGCTTGTGGACACAGGTGTCCGGAGCACTGAGGTCCCTGAGACAGTGAGGACCCCGGCTGGACACACCTGGGCAGGTGATGCCTCCTCTCTTAGCCACACGTTCCTCTTCCGGGAAATGGAATAATTCCTTCTATTTTCTGGGATTCTCTAGAGGGGTTTTTTTTTTTTTCTGAGACGGTATCTTGCTTTGTCGCCCAGGCTGGAGGACAGTGGCACATCTCGGCTCACTCCAAGCTCCGCCTCCCGGGTTCATGCCATTCTCCTGCCTCAGCCTCCCGAGTGGCGGGGGACTACAGGCGCCTGCCACCACGCCCGGCTAATTTTTTATATTTTTTACTAGAGACGGGGTTTCACCGTGTTAGCCAGGATGGTCTCGATCTCCTGACCTCATGATCCAGCCACCTCGGCCTCCCAAAGTGCTGGGATTACAGGCATGAGCCACCACGCCCAGCCTCTCTAGAGGATTAAGTAAAGCTGTGTCTGTGACTTTTTTAGCAAATCAAGTACCAGCTTCTTGGTGTTTTCCTAAGATCAACAGCCAGGAATAAAGACAGCAGTGGATTTAAAAATAGTGAAGATCGTCCATTTTATGTGGTGTGTATTCTACCACACTGGGGCAGGCCAGGTGCAGCGGTTCACGCCTGTCATCCCGGCACTTTGGGAGACAGAAGTTTTGGGAAGATCAGTTTGTGAGATGACACTCTGACAAAGCTGGAAGCTGTGGCTCTTCCCAGCTCCCGACTAGAAAGAACACAAAGCAAAGAGCCCCAGGAAGCAGGTACCCACAGCCTTGTTTATCAGGGAGTTTGAGATCAGCCTGGGCAACATAGCAAGACCTCATCTCTACAAAAAATACAAAACAATCAGGCAGGCGTGCAGGCTCACGCCTGTAATCCCAGCACTTTGGGAGGCTGAGGCGGGCGGATCACAAGGTCAGGAGATCGAGACCATCCTGGCCAACACGGTGAAACCCCGTGTCTACTAAGAAACACAAAAAAATTAGCCGGGCGTGGTGGCGGGCACCTGTAACCCAGCTACTTGGGAGGCTGAGGCAGGAGAATGGCGTGAACCCGGGAGGTGGAGCTTGCAGTGAGCCGAGATGGCGCCACTGCACTCCAGCCTGGGTGACAGAGTGAGACTCCATCTCAAAAAAAAAATAAAAAACAATGAGGCAGGCGTGATGGTGTGCACTTGTAGTCCCAACTACTTGGGAGGTGGAGGTGGGAGGATTGCTTGAGCCTGGGAGGTTGAGGCTGCAGTGAGGGATTTTTTTTTTTTTTTTTTAAGACGGAGTTTTGCTCTTGTTGCCCAGGCTGGTGCAATGACGGGATCTTGGCTCACGGCATCCTCCACCTCCTGGGTTCAAGTGATTCTCCTGCCTCAGCCTCCCGAGTAGCTGGGATTACAGGCATGCGCCACCACGCCCGGCTAATTTTGTATTTTTAGTAGAGACGGGGTTTCTTCCTGTTGGTCAGGCTGCAACCTCCATCTCCTGGTTTCAAATAATTCTCCTGCCTCAGCCTCCTGAGTAGCTGGGATTACAGGCACCTGCCACCATGCCCGGCTACTTTTTTGTTTTAGGTAGAGACAGGGTTTCACCATGTTGGTCAGGCTGGTTGACCTCAGGTGATCTGCCCGCCTCGGCCTCCCAAAGTGCTGGGATTACAGATGTGAGCCACCACGCCCGGCCTGCAGTGAGCTTTGATTGTACCACTGCACTCGGGGTGAGACCCTGTGTCCAAAAAAAAAAAAAAAAAAAAAAAGTTGAGGCAGTTCCCAGATAAACAAAACAACAGGCCAGGCACTGTGGCCCACGCCTGCAATCCCAGCACTTTGGGAGGCCGAGGTGGGCGAATTGCCTAAGCTCAGAAATTCGAGACCAGCCTAAGCAACATAGCCAAACCCCATTTCTACAAAAAATTTTAAAAGTAGCTGCTTGTGGTGTCGGGCGCCTGTGGTTCAGCTATGTGGAAGGCTGAGGTGGGAGGATCGTTTGAGCCCTGGCGGCGGAGGTTGCTGTGAGCTGAGATCGCGCCACTGCACTCCAGCCTGGGCCACTGAGTGAGCTTCCCTCTCATAAAAAGAAAAAAAAAAAAACAGGCTGGGCGCGGTGGCTCACACCTGTAATCCCTGCACTTTGGGAGGCAGAGGCGGGTGGATCACGAGGTGAAGAATTCAAGACCAGCCTGACCAAGATGGTGAAACCCCGTCTCTACTAAAAATGCAAAAATTAGCAGGGTGCGGTGGCGGGCACCTGTAATCCCAGTACTCGGGAGGCTGAGGCAGCAGAATCGCCTGAACCCAGGCGGTAGAGGTTGCAGTGGGCCATGGGCCAAGATCACACCACTGCACTCCAGCCTGGGTGGCAGAGTGAGACTTCATCTCAAAAAAAAAAAGAAAAAAAACCAAAACAAAACACCAGAAGCTGGCGGCACTCCTGGGCGCCCAGCTGTGAGTGGAGTCTCCCTGTCCCGCCTTTGGGCCTTACCCGTGCTGCGCCTGCTGCCTGCATCCCCCTTCCCTGGGTCTCCGCACGTGGGCCCTGCCTCATTTTCCCGGTCCCAGTTTCTGCGTCACCTCCTGAGAGGGGCCTCCTGTCAGCTTCCACGCAGCTCTGTCACGGGTAGATTCTCTCACGAGTGGAAGTGGCTCTCAGCTGCACTGGAATGTCCGGTCCACACGGACGGGGCCTCGGCTGTGCTGTCCACCCTGTATTTCCAGTGCCCAGTAATAGGTGCTTAGAAAATACTTACTGAATGAGTAAGTATACAGTTGTACCAGGCAGGTGATGTTATTATCCTTTTTTTTTTTTTTTTTTTACAAGGAGTAAACTGAGTCACAGAGAAGTGATGTGACTTGGCCAGGATCATGCAGCTGGTCGGGGTGGAGCCAGGCTTTGAACCTGTCTGTCCTGCTCCAGAGCTGGTATTCATGACGGGTGTGCTGCAACCCCCTCCTTCTCACACAGAGAACCAGATGGTGTCTGTGTGTTACGCGCTGGACACCTAATTCACGATCCCCGCCGAAAACCACTTCGGGAGCATTATGAATTCCATTGTGTCCTCCACCCCCAAGGATAGGTTGGGATCCTGAACCCCCATCCCTCAGCATGTGACTTCATTTAGAGGTGGGTGTTTACAGAGGTCCTGAAGTGAAAATGAGGTCATTAGGGTGGGCCCTAATCCAGTGACTGGTGTCCTTATGAAAAGGGGAGATTTGCGCACAGAAACAGACGTGCTAGCTGGGCATGGTGGCGCATGCCTGTGGCCCCAGCTACTTGGGAGGCTGAGCAAGAAGACTGCTTGAGCCTGGGAGGTTGAGGCTGCAGTGAGCAGTGATTGCGCCACTGTACTCCAGCCCAGGTGTCAGAGGGAGACCCTGTCTCAAAGAAATATAAAAAATAGGCCAAGTAGACTGAGTGTGGTGGCTCACGCCTGCAGTCCCAGCACTTTGGGAGGCTGAGGTAGGTGGATCACGAGGTCAGGAGTGTGAGACTAGCCTGGCCAACATGGTGAAGCCCCGTCTCTACTAAAGATACAAAAAATTAACCCGGTGTGGTGGTGGATGCCTGTAGTCCAGCTACTTGGGAGGCTGAGGCAGGAGAATTGTTTGAACCTGGGAGGCAGAGGTTGCAGTGAGCCAAGATCGCACCATTGCACTCCAGCCTGGGTGACAAGAGTGAAACTCCATCTCCCCCCCCCAAAAAAAAAAAAATAGGCTGGGGGCAGTGAAATTGCAGCACTCTGGGAGGCCAAAGCAGGAGGATTGCTTGAGTTCAAGAGTTTGAGACCAGCCTGGGCAACATAGTGAGACCATGTCTGAAAAATCTAAAATTAAAAAAGGAAAAATGAAAAAAAAAAAAGAGACAGCTCCAAAGGGAAGAGGAAGGGAAGAGGGAGAGAGGAGATGGTCACCTGTGAGCCAAGGAGAGAGACCAGAGCGGATCCTCCCTGAGGGCCCTGAGAGGGAACCAGCCCTGCCCACACCTTGATCTGGGACTTCCAGCCTCTGGGACTGTGATTTTTTTTTTTTTTTTTGAGATGGAGTTTTGCTTTTATTGCCCAGGATGGAGTGTAATGATGCGATCTCGGCTCACTGCACCCTCTGCCTCCTGGTTTCAAGCGATTTTCCCGCCTCAGCCTCCTGAGTAGCTGGGATTACAGGTGCATGCCACCACGCCTGGCTAATTTTGTATTTTTAGTAAAGACGCGGTTTCTCCATGTTGGCCAGGCTGGTCTCAAACTCCTGACCTCAGGTGATCTGCCCACCTCGGCCTCCCAAAGTGCTGGGATTACAGGCGTGAGCCACTGTGCCCGGCCAGGTCTGTGAGGTTTTAAACCACCTGTCTGTGGCACTTTGTTACGGAACCCGAGCTGAGTGGTACAGGGAGGAAGGCCCTGTGGTTCAGCGCATTTTACAGCTGAGGAAACTGAGGCTGCAGTCTCCATCTGTGTGTCCTTTGGTTGCTTGTATGAGTGAGGTGGCAGGTTTGGGAATGAAACCACGCCTGCGGTGCCGGGGCTCCCACCGGTAACCTCCCGTTTTTGGCCTCGGGGCTCCGGCAGGAAGGAGTCCCAAGGCTTAGATGGAGGTGCGGAGGGCGTGTGAGTGTCCTGGAGCTGCTGTAACAATGTACTGCAAACCCAGTGGCTTACACCCTCAGACGTGCATTCCCTCACGGTTCCGGAAGCCGGCAGTCTGAATCGCGGTGTCCCTGTGGCTGTGACCTGTGAGACGGGCCATAATCCTCCCAGCCTCTTCCACTTCCAGCGGGGGCGGCCCACCCTCACCTTGGAGCTGTGCCTCTCCGGTCTTTGCCTCTGTCCACACATGGCCTTCTCCCCATGTGTCTCTGTCTCTGTTTTCCCTTCCTATAAGGACACCAGTCATTGGATTAGGGCTCACCCTAATGACCGCATCCTGACATGGCCACTTCGGCACAGACCCTGTTTCCGGCACAGGCCACATTCACAGGTTGTGGGAGCACAGGAGTGTTTCTGCTGGTGCATCAGGCTGGGGTCTGTCCTCACCGGGATGTCTCCTCCTCCACCCCTCTCTTCCAGAGGAGGAGCGAGTGGACATTCTAATCAACAACGCGGGTGTGATGCGGTGCCCCCACTGGACCACCGAGGACGGCTTCGAGATGCAGTTTGGCGTTAACCACCTGGGTGAGGCCTGGGCAGGGGCTGCACCATGGGTTCAAGCGATCCTCCCCCGTCGTCCTCCCAAAGTGCTGGGATTTTAGGTGTGAGTCAAAAGTGACCTTTTCATCATCCTTAATCCAGGTCACTTTCTCTTGACAAACTTGCTGCTGGACAAGCTGAAAGCCTCAGCCCCTTCGCGGATCATCAACCTCTCGTCCCTGGCCCATGTTGCTGGGCACATAGACTTTGACGACTTGAACTGGCAGACGAGGAAGTATAACACCAAAGCCGCCTACTGCCAGAGCAAGCTCGCCATCGTCCTCTTCACCAAGGAGCTGAGCCGGCGGCTGCAAGGTACGGGGGCGCTAGGCTCGGCCTCCCTCTTGCTTTACTCTGAGCCTAGAGCGGCCTTTCCATGATCCTAGGCTGATGGGAGGCCAAACGGTGGATCCAGAACAGAGTCAGCAAAAGTAGAGCATGTGGACCACGCTGCCCGCTTCTGGTGCCTGAAGCAGACATCACTAATCGATCGTTCTTCTGAGGATTGTCTGTTCATCCCAGGTGGTCTAGTCTGCCTGGATCAGATGTCCTTCCCTGCTGCTGTTGGGCAGGCAGCTCAGCCTTTTGGCTCCAGCCAGTGAGTCTCAACCAGGGGCAGTTTTGACCCGCAGTTGTCAATGCCTGGAAACACAGTGATCACAGCTGGCTTGGGGAGAGATTGCTCTGGGCATCTGGAGGGTAAAGGCCCAGATGCTCTCAATGTCCTACAGCGCACGGGATGGCCCCTCACTCCTCCCAACCCACAGCATCCACAGTGCTGAGATTGAGAAATCTGTGCTAGGCCTTTGCTTCTGAAAGACGGTCTGTGGACCAGCGGTGCCAGCCCCACTGGGAGCTGGTCAGAGTTACAGTATCTTAGGTCCCACCGCCACGCACCGATGCAGGCTCCCGGGGTAAGCTCAGCGTTCTGGGTTTATGAAGCCCTCCAGGAAAGCTCGGCTCCCAGCAGCCATGTGGCAGAGCCGCTCCGCAAGATAAGACCACTTCACTAAGATTCCAGAGCAAGAGGGACGATGGGGTTTGAGTGCAGGAAGCAGCCTGGTGCCCGGAAGCCCCACAGCTGGGTGTGGGCTGCCACAGCCTCCCAGGTGAGGCTGGACCCCTCCCTCAGTCTTCTCTTTCTTTCTTCCCCAGGCTCTGGTGTGACTGTCAACGCCCTGCACCCCGGCGTGGCCAGGACAGAGCTGGGCAGACACACGGGCATCCATGGCTCCACCTTCTCCAGCACCACACTCGGTGAGTCCCCTCCCAGCCTGGGGTCTCCACGTGGAGCCCTCCACCCCTGCTTTCTCAGCCCAGGGCCCAGGACCCTCCCTCAGAGACCGTCCCTGAGGCCTCATGCCTGCTCCTCGCCTACGTCTTCTGAGGCACAGAGCACAGGTCCCTTTCCTCCGTTGACCTGGCCTGCCAGCCTCTAACAGCCCCGGGAAGCAGGCAGAGCCCTGCTGGCGGATGAGAAAACCGTGTCTCAGAGGAAGAGGCCGTGGAGCTGACGCCTGGAGTCAGGCTGTACTCAGGGTAACTCCAGCTTCACCCCAAACCAGCTGCACCTCCTGGGGAAGAGCTGTTACCCCTCTGAGCCTGTTTCTTCATCTGCAGAGTGCAGGCCTTAATAGGACTCACCTCACAGTCACTGGGGGGGTTATACGAGACCTTCCTTGAAAGGGCCAGCACAGGACCCCGCCCAGAGAATAGGTGGAACAAACAGTTGGAGCTTTACTTACTTATTTTTGAGATGAAGTCTTGCTCTGTCGCCCAGGCTGGAGTACAATGGCATGATCTCCACTCACTGCAACTTCCACCTCCCAGGTTCAAGCGATTCTCCTGTCTCCAAGTAGCTGGGATTACAGGTGCACACCACCACACCCAGCTAGAGGTGGGGTTTCACCATATTGGTCAGGCTAGTCTCAAACTCCTGACCTCAGGTGATCCAACTGCCTCCCAAAGTGCTGGGATTACAGGTGTGAGCCACCACCCCCAGGCAGTTCATGCTTTATGACTAGTGTTTATAATCCTGAAAAACATGGAGTGGGTGATTGGTTGGCATCAAGAATCTTAACTTGGCGAGGCTAATAGCCACGCCTGTAATCCCAGCACTTTGGGAGGCTGTGGTGGGCGGATTACCTCAGGTCAGGAGTTCGAGACCAGCCTGGCCACCATGGTGAAACCCCGTCTCTACTAAAAATACAAAAATTAGCCAGGTGTGGTGGTGTGCACCTGTAGTCCCAGCTACTCAGGAGGCTGAGGCAGGAGAATCGCTTGAACCCGGGAGGCAGAGGTTGCAGTGAGCTGAGATCACACCACTGCACTCCAGCCTGGGTGACAGAGCAAGACACCAGGTCTCAATAAATAAATAAATAAATGTCTTTTTTTTTTTGAGACGGAGTTTTGCTCGTCACCCAGGCTGGAGTGCAGTGGCACAATCTTGGCTCACTCCAACCTCTGCCTCCTCGGTTCAAGTGATTCTCCTGTCTCAGCCTCCCAAAGTAGCTGAGATTGCAGGCGCCCACCACCACACCCAGCTAAGTTTTTATTTTTAGTTGAGACAGGGTTTCACACGTTGGCCAGGCTGGTCTTGAACTCCTGACCTCAGGTGATCCACCTGCCTCAGCCTCCCAAAGTGCTGGGATTACAGGCGTGAGTCACCACGCCCAGCCCTTTTTTTTTTTTTTTTTTGAGACGAAGTCTTGCTATTGTCACCCAGGCTGGAGTGCAATGGTGTGATCTTAGCTCACTGCAACCTCCGCCTCCCAGGTTCAAGGGATTCTCCTGCCCCAGCCTCCCGAGCAGCTGGGATTACAGGCACCCGCCACCACACCCAGTTAATTTTTGTATTTTTAGTAGAAATGGGGTTTCACCATGTTGGCCAGGCTGGTCTGGAACTCCCGACCCCAGGTAATCCGCCCGCCTCGGCCTCCCAAAGTGCTGGGATTACAGGCCTGAGCCACCTCGCCTGGCCAAAAAAAGATCCTTAACCTGAGGCTGGTGCCAGGTGCATTTAATAAGATGTTATTAAAGGAGAAATGGGGTAGGGTGAGGACTGGGGCTGACCAAGAGGAAGAGAGCTTCCATTTTCCTGGACAAAGCCAGGAAGGCTCCTTGGGGGAGGCAGCTTTTGGTCTGATCCCTGGTCTGGTGGGATTTGCCTGGGCAGTGCCAGGGAAGGGAACTGCAGATGGAGGCAGCCAAGGGGAAAGGGCTAGAGGAGGGCTCTGTGGGACTCCAGGGACCCGGAGCTCCCTGACCGGGGAGCGGGGCTTCCTTCCTTCTCTCTGAGCGAGTGTGGACTAAATGCCCTGTGGGCTGATTGCAGGGCCCATCTTCTGGCTGCTGGTCAAGAGCCCCGAGCTGGCCGCCCAGCCCAGCACATACCTGGCCGTGGCGGAGGAACTGGCGGATGTTTCCGGAAAGTACTTCGATGGACTCAAACAGAAGGCCCCGGCCCCCGAGGCTGAGGATGAGGAGGTGGCCCGGAGGCTTTGGGCTGAAAGTGCCCGCCTGGTGGGCTTAGAGGCTCCCTCTGTGAGGGAGCAGCCCCTCCCCAGATAACCTCTGGAGCAGATTTGAAAGCCAGGATGGCGCCTCCAGACCGAGGACAGCTGTCCGCCATGCCCGCAGCTTCCTGGCACTACCTGAGCCGGGAGACCCAGGACTGGCGGCCGCCATGCCCGCAGTAGGTTCTAGGGGGCGGTGCTGGCCGCAGTGGACTGGCCTGCAGGTGAGCACTGCCCTGGGCTCTGGCTGGTTCCGTCTGCTCTGCTGCCAGCAGGGGAGAGGGGCCATCTGATGCTTCCCCTGGGAATCTAAACTGGGAATGGCCGAGGAGGAAGGGGCTCCGTGCACTTGCAGGCCACGTCAGGAGAGCCAGCGGTGCCTGTCGGGGAGGGTTCCAAGGTGCTCCGTGAAGAGCATGGGCAAGTTGTCTGACACTTGGTGGATTCTTGGGTCCCTGTGGGACCTTGTGCATGCATGGTCCTCTCTGAGCCTTGGTTTCTTCAGCAGTGAGATGCTCAGAATAACTGCTGTCTCCCATGATGGTGTGGTACAGCGAGCTGTTGTCTGGCTATGGCATGGCTGTGCCGGGGGTGTTTGCTGAGGGCTTCCTGTGCCAGAGCCCAGCCAGAGAGCAGGTGCAGGTGTCATCCTGAGTTCAGGCTCTGCACGGCATGGAGTGGGAACCCCACCAGCTGCTGCTACAGGACCTGGGATTGCCTGGGACTCCCACCTTCCTATCAATTCTCATGGTAGTCCAAACTGCAGACTCTCAAACTTGCTCATTTAAAAGAAAAAAAAAAGAAGAAAATGTACCCGAGTCGTAGATTTTATTTTTCCTCTGTGCATGGGTGAATGCCCATGAGCTGAACAAAGGCAACTCATGGCTTTATTCCTTTTAGGAAACAAGGCATCAGTTTATCACCAGGGCAACAGGCCATGCAAAAGTTCAGACTTGGCCGGGCGCGGTGGATCACGAGGTCAGGAGATCGAGACCATCCTGGCTAACACAATGAAACCCTGTTTCTACTAAAAAAATACAAAAAATTAGCTGGGCATGGTGGTGGGCGCCTGTAGTCCCAGCTACTCGGGAGGCTGAGGCAGGAGAATGGTGTGAAGCTGGGAGGCGGAGATTGCAGTGAGCCGAGATCATGCCACTGCCCTCCAGCCTGGGTGACAGAGCAAGATTCCGTCTCAAAAAAAAAAAAAAGTTCCGACTTTTTAGAGATGAAAGCCCCTTTCACCTGTTTCACAGGAAATAACCGTTTAAGTCCGGGCATCTTACAAGACTGCTGTGTTAGAAACTGGATAGAGATCAGGGTGAGATGAAGGGGCTCTTAGCTTAGGTGCAGAACCGAAGGAGGCACCGAAAAGCTCAGTAATCGAGATAGAAAACATGTTTTCATATTTGAGATACTGGGGAGGCCAGGGATGCTACTCAATATCCCACAGTACACAGAACAGCCACCTAGTCTCGCTCTGTTGCCCAGGCTGGAGTGCAATGGCATGATCTCAGCTCACTGCAACCTGTGTCTCCCATGTTCAAGCGATTCTCATGCCTCAGCCTCCCGAGTAGCTGGGATTACAGGCGCCCACCACCACACCTGGCTAATTAAAGACGGTATCACCATGTTGGCCAGGCTTATCTTGAACTCCTGACCTCAGGTGATCCACCCGTCTTGGCCTCCCAAAGTGCTGGGATTATAGGTGTGAGCCAGTGCACCCAGCCCTTTTTGCTTTTTTAGAGACGAGGTCTTACTGTGTTGCCAAGGCTGGAGTGCAGTGCCGTCACAGCTCACTACAACCTCGACCTGTGATTCTCCTGCCTCAGCCTCCTGAGTATCTGGGACTACAGGTGCATGCCACCACACTTGGCTAATTATTTGTAGAGGTGGCAACATAACATTTGCTATGTTGCCCAGGCTGGTCTCAAACTCCTGGGCTCAAGTGACCCTTCCGCCATGGCCTCCCAAATTGTTGGGATTACAGGCATGAGCCACCGTACCTGGCCTTAGTTTTCTTTCCGATGCCACACCAAATGGCTAGAGGGTGTGTTTGGGATGACCTGAGTCTGGTAGGCAACTTCCAGTGGACCCCACGGTGCGACCACCTCCCTTTGAGTGTGGGGGAGATGTAGCGACTGGCTTCTAGCAGTAGGATAGGGCAGAAGTGACAGTAGGTTAGTCTTGTGGTTAGGTTACAAAACTGACCTCTGTGATGGTAGCGTCCCTCGTCAGCCCTCTTGTCTTGCCCTCTCGCTGGCTGGTGGTGATGGAGCCGGCTGCCATGGTGAGCGGCCCTGTGGAGAAGCCAGGGAGGAATGGAGACAATCTGGAGAAACAGAATCACACCAACAACCACGTGCGTGAGCTTGCTGTGTGCTCTTGCTTGGGAGCAAGTTACAGGTTCAGCCCAAGAGGAGCGGACCACTCCAGGGTGTAAATACCAGGAGGGGGAATTGGAAGACTACCCTAAGCATGCCGACCGGAGACTGTGTGTGTGTAGTAGGTATTTCTTACTGGGAGATCACGGAAAAGCAAGTTTGAGAAACACTCCCATCAGATGGGTGGGCCGAGGATAACCTCAAAGCCTTTGGTTCTCCGAATAGGTGCGTAGGACTCACCCAGGCACTCTTTCCTTTTTTAAATTGTGGTAAAAACTACATAACAGTGGCCAGGCGTGATGGTGCACGCCTGTAATCCCAGCTATTAGGGAGGCTGAGGCAGAAGAACTGCTTGAACCAAGGGGGCACCGCTCCTGGCTGTAACATGTTTTCAATATCCCCCCTCTTCGGTGGCACAGGGGCTGGCCCCATATACATGTGCGATGGCAACTGACAGGGTCCCTGATAAACCGGAGTGCTCCAGAAACACCCCATTGCGTGGGACGGAGGATGTTAGGTGGCCCTCCTAGCGTTTGAGTTTGATAAATGAGCAAAGGAAGTGGTTTTTACTAGAAAGCCAGCTTTCCTTTTTTTTTTTTTTTTTTTTCCAGCCAGCAAACCCCAAACAGGAACCTATGGTTGGTGATGGATGTGCGTTCAGAAAGCAGGGAGGGAGGGGGAGTCAGAGGTGAGGGGGTCATCAGCCATAGCTGTCCGCTGCATCACCCCCTCGCTATCTCCAGGAAGCGTTCTGGGCTTTTCCTGTTGTGCAGTGTGGAAGTGCTCTATCTTCATTCATATCAAGGAAAGTCAAAGGACAAACTAAAGCCGGCAGCGTCTTTCTGGCTTCCTAGTCAGGCTGTTCGGTAGCGGAGTGTCACCCTGATTTCCAGCCCCGCAGCACACACAGTGAGAGCCTGCCTGGCGTGATTCAGAGGCAACGTATTTCCCAAGGTGGCTGTGAAGGAACCAGGGGGATAAACACAGCCCGTGAACCGCACGCCAGAGGACAGGTCCGGCTGCCTGCCGCGGAGTCGTCACGGCGTGTCGCGTCTGAGCGCTTCTCCAAAGCACCCAAGTGGCACCCGGGGTGACAGTTACATCATCTTGAGTACAGTTCTCTCAAGGAAAAAGCAAGCCCAGCATCTTCTGCCATGGCAACCCTGGCTTGGAGCCTCCATAAGAGAGAAGGCCCTAAGAATAATACCATTTTCTTGCTCTAAGTTGCTCTTACGGGAAAGAAGTGATAATATTCTTCCTAAACGCCATCATTCGTGCATCCTTCCCACCTATATGTGTCACCGGATCATTCTCCGCCTGGGCGGGGCCGTCCTGTGCACTGCAGAATGCTGAGCAGTGTCCTTGGCTTCGACCGACCACATGCCAGGAGCACCCCAATTTCTGCCATCGGGTGATTGACTTCACTGTTGCATTTGATTTTTTATGTATCTTTTAAAAGGACCCAATAGGGCCAGGCACAGTGGCTCACACTTGTAATCCCAGCACTTTGGGAGGCTGAGGTCGGTGGATTGCTTGAGCCCAGGAGGAGTTCAAGACCAGCCTGGGCAACATAGTGAAACCCCAACTCTACAAAAAACAAATGTTTTATTTTTATTTATTTTAGATGGAGTTTCACTCTTGTTGCCCAGGCTGGAGTGCAGTGGCGCAATCTCGGCTCACTGCAACTTCTGCCTCCCGGGTTCAAGCGATTCTCCTGCCTCAGCCTCCTGAGTATCTGGGATTACAGGCATGCGCCACCACACCCAGCTAATTTTGTATTTTTAGTAGAGATGGCGTTTCTCCATGTTGGTCAGGCTGGTCTCAAACTCCCGACCTCAGGTGATCTGCCTGCCTCGGCCTCCCAGAGTGTTGGGATTACAGGCGTGAGCCACCACGCCCAGCCGGGTTTATAGTTTTATAACCCTTATGACAAATCTCATAGTATTCTGCAGGGATAAGCATGAAACCACTCGTTCAATAAGTGCAAACAAAAACGCCAACAATTCTTAAGACATTTCTAATCTTATTTTACCAATAATTTTAAAGCCAGCTTATGTATTAAAGATTTATAACTACTTTTATTAACACGTTTAAAATTCTATGCAGCTTAAAGCATTTATAATGGATAAAACTGCCAATACTGAGTGCCTGACATAATATTTGAAAGGTGGCAGGCATTCAACCATGGTCACTGAATGAGAGATGTAGGGAAGATGATGGCAGGGAGGTTTTTAGATATCAACACCCTGATAGTTCTCATTTTAACCACCTGTAAGTGCACATACAAGTCAACGGCACTGGCCGGGCGCGGTGGCTCATGCCTGTATTCCCAGCACTTTGGGAGGCCAAATCACAAGGTCAGGAGATCGAGACCATCCTGGCTAACACGGTGAAACCCCGTCTCTACTAAAAATACAAAAAATCAACTAGGCATGGTGGCACGCACCTGTAGTCCCAGCTACTCAGGAGGCTGAGGCAGGAGAATCGCTTGAACCTGGGAGGCGGAGGTTGCGGTGAGCCAAGATCGCGCCACTGCACTCCAGCCTCGGCGACAGAGTGAGACTCCGTCTCAAAAAACCAAAAAACAAAAAACAGTCAATGGCATTAAATATAAATACATTTACAGTGTTGTGTAACCATCACCACTATGGATCCCCCAGACTTTGTCATCATCTTCAACCTAAGCGCTCCCTATTAAATAGTAACTCCCCACTTTTCCCAGGCCTTGGCAACCACCATTCTAATCCCTGTCTCTATGAATTTGACTCCTCTCGATACCTCAGATAAGCGGCACAATGCAGTATTTATCTGTCAAGTCCGGAATATTTCCTTTAGCATAATGTCTTCAAGGTCCATCACGTTGTAGCATGTATCTGAATTTATTCTTTTATAATATTTTTTATTTTTTGGAGACAGAATCTCGCTCTGTCACCCAGGCTGGAGTGCAATGGCGCGATCTCGGCTCACCGCAACTTCCGCGTCCCGGGTTCAAGCCATTCTCCTGTCTCAGCCTCCGGAGTAGCTGGGACTACAGGTGCCTGCCGCCATGCCCGGCTATTTTTTTTTTGTATTTTTTGGGGGTTTTACTGTGTTGCCCAGGCTGGTCTTGAACTGCTGAGCTCAGGCAATCTGCCTGCCTCAGCCTCCTAAAGTACTAGGATTACAGGCATGGGCCACCACGCCCGGCCTTATTTTTATTTTTGAGACAGTCTCACTCTGCCGCCCAGGCTGGAGTGCAGTGGTGCGATCTCGGCTTACCGCAATCTCTGCCTCCCAGGTTCAAGCGATTCTCATGCCTCCGTCTCCCAAGTAGCTGGGATTACAGGCACCTGCCACCATGCCCGGCTAATTTAACGCCCAGCTAATTTTTGTATTTTTAGTAGAGATGGGGTTTCACCATGTTAACCAGGCTGGTCTCGGACTCCTGACCTCAGGTGATCCGCCCGCCTCGGCCTCCCAAAGTGCTGGGATTACAGGCGTGAGCCACTGTGCCTGGCTGATTTTTATTCTTTTAGTTAAGGCTGGTTGATATTACCTTGTGTGTATATACCACATGTTGTTTATCCATTGTTGTTGATGGACATGTGGGTGGTTTCACCTTTTGGCTATTGTGAATAAAGCTGCTATGAACACTGTGTACAAATATGTTAGAGACCCTGTTTTCAGTTCTTTTAGGTGTGTACCCCGAAGTGGAATTGCTGGATTTTATGGCAATCCCACGTTTAACTTCTGGAGGAGCTGCTGGAACTGTTTTCCACAGCAGGGGCGCCATGTTACGTCCCTGCCAGCAATGCACGCGCAGTTCAATTTCTCTGCATACTCACCAATATCTGCTGTTTTCCATTAAAAAAAATTATAGCCGGTCGGGTGCAGTGGCTCATGCCTGTAATCCCAGCACTTTGGGAGACCGAGGCAGGTGGATCAACTGAGGTCAGGAGTTCAAGACCAGCCTGGCCAACACAGTGAAACCCCATCTCTACTAAAAATACAAAAATTAGCCTGGTGTGGTACATACCTATAATCCCAGCCACTTGGGAGGCTGAGGCAGGAGAATCGCTTGAACCTGGGAGGTGGAGGTTGTAGTGGGCCGAGATGGCGCCACTGCACTCCAACCTGGGCAAAAAGAACGAGACTTTGTCTCAAAAGAAAAAAAAAAAATACAGCCATTCCAGAAGGTGTGAAGTCATATCTCACTGTGGTTTTGATGCGTATTTTCCTAGTGACATCAGGGAGTTTATGGGAGCACGGGAACACAGACCAGGCCCCAGCAGGCGGACAAACGGTGCAACGCCAGGCTGGCCAGAGGAGATAAGCGCGGCTCCTTGGAGCTTGTGTGCAAGTCACTGTACTGAGGAGCCGGCTACGGCTCGATGAGTCTCAATTAGGAAAGGCCGGGGCTGGTGGAGGAAGGGAGGAGAGCATTCTTCATCCTCATCACATCCTGAGCCTGTGCCCCAGGCTCCCACCACTTCCCTCCCTGGCCACAGAGCTCAGGACAGGGCTGAGGAACCATGTCTCCATCCCCGACCGCCCTCTTCTGTCTTGGTGAGTCCTGAGGGTCAGATCTGGGAAATGCTGAAGGACAGGCATGGACTGCCAGACAAAGGATTTTTAAGAAATTTGCATTGGTGATGAATTTCAGGACAAAAAGGAACCTGTAAGAGCCCCTTCATTTGTTGGGTGGGGAAACGGGGGGCCAGCGAGCTGGCATTTTGCATGAGTTATTCCAGTGTATTCATGGCTGGGTCAGGAAATGAACAGAGTATCCTAGCATTGGTCACAACTTTGTTCTACTACACTGCAGTTGCCCCTTTTTTAAAAAATGTGGGCCAGGCACAGTGGCTCACGCCTGTAATCTCAACCTTGGGAGGCCGAGGTGGGTGGATCACCTGAGGTCAGGAGTTCAAGACCAGCCTGGTCAACATGGTGAAACCCCATCTCTACAAAAATTAGCCGGGCGTGATGGCGGGTGCTTGTAATCCCAGCTACGTGGGAGGCTGAGGTGGGAGAATTGCTTGAAACTGGGAGGCAGAAGTTGCAGTGAGCTGAGGTCAGGCATTGCACTCCAGCCTGGGCAACAGAGAGAGCCTCCATCTCAAAAAAAAAAAAAAAAAAAAAAAAAAAGGCTGAGTGCCATGGCTTACACACTTTGGGAGGCCGAGGCGGGTGGGCCATCTGAGGTCGGGAGTTTGAGACCAGCCTGACCAACATGGAGAAACCCCATCTCTACTAAAAATACAAAATTAGCCGGGTGTGGTGGCACATGCCTGTAATCCCAGCTACTCTGGAGGCTAAGGCAGGAGAATCGCTTGAACCTGGGAGGTGGAGGTTGCGGTGAGCCAAGATCACACCATTGCACTCTGGCCTGGGCAACAAGAGCGAAACTCCGTCTCAAAAAAAAAAAAAAAAAAATTGTGGAATTGATATCTGGACTAGGTATGGATTTAATTTGTCAGTATCCCCTACAGTAGTGGAGTAAATAGTCTCCTGATGGATGGGTGGCAGGTCGAATGCATTTCTGCTGCCTGATCTTCACTTGTGCTGGGCATGTCGAATGCATTATTTCCTGATTTCTTCAGAATTTGACCACTAAAGGGACAGCATCTCCAAAAGGCTAAGCAGGAAGAAGATGGTTGCATTACTGGAGATGAGAGGGTTAACTGTGAATATAAACAACCTCTCATTCATTATCCATCCATGGATGTATTCTTTTTTTCTTTTTGTTTGTTTTTTGAGATGGAGTCTCGCTCAGTCGGTCGCTCAGGCTGGAATGCAATGGCATGATCTCAGCTCACTGCAAACTCTGCCTCCCGGGTCCAAGTGATTCTCCTGCCTCAGCCTCCCGAATAGTTGGGATTACAGGCATCTGCCACCAGGTCTGGCTAATTATTGTATTTTTAGTAGGGGCGGGGTTTCACCATGTTGGCCAGGCTGGTCTCAAGCTCCTTACTTCAGGTTCCACCCGCCTCGGCCTCCCAAAGTGCTGGGATTACAGGCGTGAGCCACCGCACCCAGCCTGTTTTAACTTTTATTTATTTAATTTTATTTGAGATAGGGCCTCACTTCTGTCACCCAGGCAGGAGGGCAGTGGCATGATCATGGCTCACTGCAGCCTCAACCTCCCAGGCTCAACCAGTGCCTCCCCATCAGCCTCCTGAGTATCTGGAACTACAGTTGTACACCATCATGCCTGGCTTGTTTTTGTAATTTTTTTAGTTACGGGGGTCCGCTATGTTGCCCAGGCTGGTCTTGAACTCCTGGGCTCAAGCGATCCACCCACCTCGGCCTCCCAAAGTGTTGGGGTTACAGGTGTGGCCTGTACAGGTTACTGCATCTGGCTTGTTGCTTCAGTAGCTTTTGGGATACAAGTGGTTCTTGGTTACATGGATGAATTATATTCTGGTGAATTCTGAGATTTTAGTGCACCTGTCACCTGACTAGTGTACCTTGTACCTAATGTGTAGTTTTTCATCCCTGCCCCACTTCTGCCCTTCCCTTCTGAGTCTCTGAAGTCCATTACATCACTCTGCATGCCTTTGCATACCCACAGCTTAGCTCTCACTTATAAGTGAGAATATACAGATTTTTGTTTTCCACTCCTGTATTACTTTACTTAGAATAATGCCTTCCAGCTCCATCCAAGTTGCTGCAAAAGACTTTTTTTTTTTTTTTTTAAAGACGGAATCTCGCTCTCTCACCAAGGCTGGAGTGCAGTGGTGTGATCTCGGCTTACTGCAAACTCCACCTCCCGGGTTTAAGTGATTCTCCTGCCTCAGCCTCCCGAGTAGCTGGGACTACAGGCACCCGCCACCATGCCCGGCTAATTTTTGTATTTTTAGTAGAGATGGGGTTTCACCATGTTGGGCAGGATGGTCTTGATCTCTTGACCTCGTGATCCACCCACCTCGGCCTCCCAGAGTGCTGGCATTACAGATGTGAGCCACTGTGCCTGGCCAAAAGACATTATTTCACTCCTTTTAATGGCTGAGTAGTATTCCACGCTCATTTATTTTTATTTATTTTTATTTTTTGACATGGAGTCTCACTCTGTTGCCCAGACTGGAGCGCAGTGGCATGACGTTGGCTCACTGCAACCTCCACCTCCCAGGTTCAAGCGATTCTCCTGCCTCAGCCTCCCAAGTAGCTGGGATTACAGGCTCCTGCCACTACGCCCCGCTAATTTTTGTATTTTTAGTAGAGACAGGGTTTCACCATGTTGGTCAGGCTGCTCTCGAACTCCTGACTTCAGGTGATCCGCCCACCTTGGCCTCCCAAAATGGGATTACAGGTGTGAGCCAGCGCGCCCGGCCGGTGAGAACATTTAAAATCTACTATCGGTGATATGCAAGTGTACAATATGTTGTTATTAACTACAGTCACCATGATGTGCAGTAGATCTCCAAGACATACTCCTCTTGTCCAACTGAAACTGTCCTCCTCTGACCAACATCTCCCCAAACCTTACCCCACCGCCCCGGTAACCACCACTGTGCTCTCTACTCCTGTAAGTTCCCAAGTCCACACTCTTTACCACTAATTGGTGCTGCTAGGGTTTGAATCTACTCCTGCCAGCTGTAGGACTGTGGATAAGATACTGTCTCACTAGCCTGATGTATAAGAGGGGACTGATAATGGTGGGTAACCCGTACGATTATGGCGACTTGGAGTCCATGCACAGAAGGCGCTCAGCACGGCGCCTGGAAGACTCCCAGCCATGGTACAGCGTCGCATGGAAACCTACAAAGAGGCTGAGGTGGGCTGTGATGCGGCAGGAGGAGGGGGACAGAGAAGCGGCCGGAGCTTGCGTTGGGGTGCAGAGGGAGCCTGGGGTGGACAAAGGGTGGTGGCTATGGGGGCGCTGGTGACAAGTTGTCACTCTCTGAGCTCAGAGTCAAGACATGAGCTGGGTTCACCCACTTCTTGCTATGTGAGCTACACAAGGTTGCTTGGCCTCTGCCCAGTTTCCTTATGTTTACAGTGGGAATGACAACTATCCCGCCTTTGTGTGTGTGTGTGTGTGTGTGTGTGTGTAAGAATGAGGGTTACCAGATAAAACACTGGATGCCTGGTTAAATTGGAATTTCAGATAATTAGTACTTTTTTTTTCCTCCTCCTCTTCGTTTTCTGAGACAGGGTCTTGCTCTGTTGTCAGTCTGGAGTGCAATGGGGCAATATCATTTTTTTTTTTCCTCGAGATGGAGTCTTGCTCTGTTGCCCAGGCTGGAGTGTAGTGGCGTGATCTTGGCTCACTGCAACCTCCGCCTCCCGGGTTCAAGTGATTCTCCTGACTCAGCCTCCCCAGTAGCTAGGATTACAGGCACGTGCCACCATGCCCAGCTAATTTCTGGTATTTTTAGTAGAGATGGTGTTTCACCATGTTGACCAGGCTGGTCTTGAACTCCTGACCTTGTGATCCGCCCACCCTGGCCTCCCAAAGTGCTGGGATTATAGGCATGAGCCACCGTGCCCGGCCAGTGGTGCAATCTTACCTCACAGCAGACTTGACCTCCTGGGCTCAAGCAATTCCAGGAGGGGATCGCTTATGTACATGTATTTGTATACATATGTATACACACACACACACACACACACACACATGCATACATATATACATATACATACATATACACGTGTGTATGTACACACGTGTATATGTACATACACATGTATGTATAGATGTAGGTTTACATATATGCACTATATGTGTATATACATATAGTAATCAGATCAGGGTAAGTAGCACACCCATCTTCTCAAACATGCATCCTTTCTGTGTTGGGAACTTTCCCCATCCTCCTTCAGGCTATTTGAAACGATTATTATATATATTATATCCTATCATGTAATCATGGAATACTGATTCAAGCAAATGTTGTAAATACCGGGAAACCCATGGCCAGCACATGCTGAGACGTCCTGACTTACACGCTGAGGCTCCATCCTGCTCCATCCTTGGAGCCCAATGCATCCCATTAGTGTGGGGTTTTATCGCATATATTACATAGACAATAAAATACAATAATATACAATATGCAATAGTATTTACAATACTTGTCTATACAATTGCATACTATTGTAATGTACTTGGATATTATTTAATATTGGGAGACTGAAGGGAGGAAACGAAGGGACAGCAATGTCTCAGGTCCCATTCCTCACATCCACTGAGGAAGTCAATGGGCAATGTCTAACACGAACGAGCCCACCGTGTCTAACACAACACAAACGAGCCCACCGTGTCTAACACAACACGAACGAGCCCACCGTGTCTAACACAACACGAACGAGCCCACCGCGTCTAACACGAACGAGCCCACCGCGTCTAACACGAACGAGCCCACCGTGTCTAACACAACACGAACGAGTCCACCGTGTCTAACACAACACGAACGAGCCCACCGTGTCTAACACAACACGAACGAGTCCACCGTGTCTAACACAACACGAACGAGTCCACCGTGTCTAACACGAACGAGTCCACCGTGTCTAACACGAACGAGTCCACCGTGTCTAACACGAACGAGTCCACCGTGTCTAACACAACACGAAGGAGTCCACCGCGTCTAACACGAACGAACCCACCGCGTCTAACACGAACGAACCCACCGTGTCTAACACGAACGAACCCACCGTGTCTAACACGAACGAGTCCACCGTGTCTAACACAACACGAACGAGTCCACCGTGTCTAACACAACACGAACGAGTCCACCGTGTCTAACACGAACGAGTCCACCGCGTCTAACACGAACGAGTCCACCGTGTCTAACACAACACGAACGAGTCCACCGTGTCTAACACGAACGAGCCCACCGTGTCTAACACGAACGAGCCCACCGTGTCTAACACGAACGAGTCCACCGTGTCTAACACGAACGAGCCCACCGTGTCTAACACGAACAAGTCCACAGAGAGCAGTACGCCACCATGCCTTGCCCTCCTCTCCCACCACCCCCAGCCATGGATCTGCTTTCTTCTCCATCTCCTATAGATTTACCTATTCTGGATATTTCATGTAAATGACCTCATAAACTATGTGGCTTTTTCTGACCGGTTTCTCTCACTTAAATTACATTCCTGTGTGTCTTTTGAAGAAATTATTAGGACAGAGTAAAGCATATGCATGCAAATGTCTTATCACCGCGCCCAGCAGGCAGGAATGTCCATAAAAGCGAGTCCTGGCATCTGGTCCCTTTCTTCTTTCCTCAGGGCTGTGTCTGGGGCGTGTGCCAGCGCAGAGTGGTGAGTCCTTCCCCAGACCCCTTCCCTCCTGCGGGATCCGCCAGCGCGGGAGCAGCGGGGTCCAGGCGGGGTCTGCGGGGAGGCTGACCCAGCCCTGCTCCTCTTCCAGGACCGCTCCCCAAGCCCTCCCTCCAGGCTCTGCCCAGCTCCCTGGTGCCCCTGGAGAAGCCAGTGACCCTCCGGTGCCAGGGACCTCCGGGCGTGGACCTGTACCGCCTGGAGAAGCTGAGTTCCAGCAGGTACCAGGATCAGGCAGTCCTCTTCATCCCGGCCATGAAGAGAAGTCTGGCTGGACGCTACCGCTGCTCCTACCAGAACGGAAGCCTCTGGTCCCTGCCCAGCGACCAGCTGGAGCTCGTTGCCACGGGTAAAGGAAGGGGGATCGGAGCCTGGGACTGCGTGGTCCTCCGTTCAGGACACAAATACGGGGGACATTGAGGGCAGGGATTAGGGTGAGGCAAACGAGGCACTGGCCTAGCGGGTGGTGGTGCCACGACATTTATGGATCAATGTGAATAATATTTTGTTTTTTGGACACAGGGTCTTGCTGCGTCACCCAGGGTGGAGAGCAGTGGCGCGATCTTGGCTCACTGCAGCCTCCACCTCCAGGGCTCAAGCGATTCTCCCGCCTCAGCCCTCCAAGTAGCTAGGATTACAGGTGTGCACCACCACGCCCAGCTCATTTTTTATGTTTTTATAGAGATGGGGTCTCTTGACAGTTTTCACAAAAGGCATTAAAATACAAAAGAGAGAGAGATAGGGTCTCGCTATGTTGCTCAGGCTGGTCTCGAACTCCTGTGGGCTCAAGCTATCCTTCCACCTTGGCTTCCCAAAGTGTTGGGATTTCAGGCGTGAGCCACTGCATCTGGCTGTGAATAACATTTTCATGCAATTTTTAAAAAAATCAAAATAAATTGCAAAAACATCCACAATGAAAAAAACCAGAATTTCAAATAAAGGCAGAATCAGCCAGTGCCTGTGTCAAGTCATACCAGAGTCTGTGCCAAAACGAAAAACAGGCAACCCTTTATCTGTGTTTTAATGCACTTAAAAAAATTAGCGATGGGGTCTTGCTACACTGCCCAGGCCGGAGTGCAGTGGCTGTTCATAGGAGCAGTCATAGCTCACTGCAGCCTGGAGCTCCTTGCCTTGAGCAATCCTCCTGCCTCAGCCTCATGAGTAGCAGGGACTACGGTCACGGGCCACCGTGCTTGGCTCGGGATTCTTTTTAAAACTTTGTTTTGGAGTAATTTTTAGACTGACAGAAAAGTTCCAAAGATAATATTAATGGAAATATTTCACCCAGGATCCCCTCATGTTAACATCTTACATTTGTTACAACCAAAAAATAAACGTAGCACTGGTCCCAGTGGTTTACACCTGTAATCCCAGCACTTTGGGAGGCTGAGGCGGGAGGATTGCTTGAGCTCAGGAGTTCAAGACCAGCCTGGGCAACATAGTGAGACCTCATCTTTAAACAAAATTAAAAATTAGTGGGGCATGGTGGCATACACCTATAGTCCCAGCTACTCAGGAGGCTGAGGCAGGAGGATCGCTTGAGCCAGGGAGGCCGAGGCTGCAGGGAGCTGTGATCACGCCACTGCACTCCAGCCTGGGTGACAGAGTGAGACCCTGTATCAAAAAACAAACAAAAAACTAACCATAGACACAACTATATTATATCAAGTAAACTCCAGGCTATTTGAATTTCACCAGTCTTTCCACTAATATCCTATTTCTGTTCCCAGACCCCGTCCAGGGCCCCACAGTGCATTTAGTATTTATGTCTCCTTAGACTCTTGATTGGTGCAAATATTCTAATTTCTTTTCTTATTTATTTATTTTTTTTAAGAGAAGAGGTTGGGCCGGGCGCGGCGGCTCACGCCTGTAATCCCAGTACTTTGGGAGGCTGAGGTGGGTGGATCACTTAAGGTCAGGAGTTTGAGACCAGCCTGGCCAACATGGTGAAACCCCGTCTCTACTAAAAAAAATAATAATAATTAGCTGGGCGCGGTGGCGCACTCCTGTAATCCCAGCTACTCCGGAGGCTGAGGCAGGAGAATCGCTTAAACCTGGGAGGCGGTGAGCCGAGATTGCACCACTGCAGTCCAGCCTGGGCGACAGAGCAAGACTCCGTCTTGGGAAAAAAAAAAAAAGAGAAGAGGTCTTACTATGTTGCCCAGGCTTTAGTACACTCGCTGTATTCACAGGCATGATCATAGCTCACTTTAGCCTCAAATCCCTGGGCTCAAGTGGTCCTCCCTAGTAGCTGGGACTATAGGTGCACCCAGTTAGTGCACTTTTAAATGGTTATTTTCTAGAAGTAGGTTTTGGAAATAGCACTGATGCGCTTGCATCCACAAAAGCCTAGAATGTAAAATTCTAATAAATCTTTCAGGGGAATAAAGTATTCAAACAGAATAATGTGAGTTTTAACGACCTACTCTTCAAATTTTCAATAATTTTTTCAAATATGTTAATTGTTTGGGAATAATTAAATTTTACATCCCAGGAGAGTGCCTCACTCACGCCACCCTAATTCCTGGCCAGCTGCACTGTGGTCTATTCCGCGTTATAAATCCTGCCTCCCTCCCCTCTTCCCTGCCTCACTCCCCTCCACAGCATCACTGGCCTCCTCTCTGCTACTAGAATGGACCAGCCTGGCTGCCTCATTACTTCTTTCAGGGTCAGACTCAAATACTCTCTTCTCGCTAAGTATATCCCCCACCACCCTAGTCAAAGTGGCCCTCCTCACTATCTGGTATGTGAAGTATACCTTTTTTTATCTTGGTGGTGGTTGTCTATTTTTAATTCCTGGTCGGGCACGGTGGCTCACGCCTGTAATGCCAGCACTTTGGGAGGCCGAGGTGGACGGATCACCTGAGGTCAGGAGTTCGAGATCAGCCTGGCTAACATGGTGAAACCCTGTCTCTACTAAACATACAAAATTAACTGGGCATGGTGGTGCATGCCTGTAGTCCCAGCTACTCGGGAGGCTGAGGCAGGAGAATCGCTTGAACCCAGGAGGTGGAGGTTGCAGTGAGCTGGGATCATGCCACTGCACTCCAGCCTGGGCAACAGAGTGAGATTCTGTTTCCCAAAAAAAAAAAAAAAAAAAAAAAAAAAAAAAATATATATATATATATATATATATATATATATATATATATATATATATATATATATATATGCCATTGCACTCCAGCCTGGGTGACAGAGCGAGACTCCGTCTCAAAACAAAACAAAACAAAACAAAACAAATGAAACAACAAAAAAAGAATACAGACAGACACATAATAGTTGCTTAAGTGAAAATTAAGAGAAAATATTGCTGAGTGAATGTTACAGTTATCAGGCAGCTTATATATTTCCTTCCTTCCTTCCTCCCTCCCTCCCTTCCTTCCTCTTTCTTTCTTTTTCTTCTTGTTGAGTGAATGCCATAATTATTAGGCAGCTTATATTTTTATCTTCCTTACTTCCTTTCTTTTGCTTTCTCTCTCTGTCTTTTTTTGAGACAAGGTCTCACTCTGTCACCCAGGCTAGTGTACAGTGATCATAGCTCACTGCAGCCTCGCCTTCCTGGGCTCAAGCGATCCTCCCACCTTGGCCTCCCAAAGTGCTGGGATGACCGGTGTGAGCCGCCGCACCCAGCCTCAACCTTTGTTTTTCTGACTCCTGTGTGCAGGCATGCATCACCACACCGGTCTATGACAACAACCTCACATCAGAGTAGTGTAGGTTCGTGTTTAGGAGCGGAGACCCTGGAATCAAACTCTGTGAGTGCAGATTTCAACTCTGCCACTTATGATCTTGGACAAGTTTTTTATTTATTTTTAAATTAAAATATGTCCAGCTTTGTTGAGGTATAATTGAAAAACAAAAATGGAATATATCCAAGGTGTACAAGTTGATGTTTTGATATACGAATCCACTGTGAGACAGTTACTACTAGCAAGCTAATTAACATACATCACCTGACACAGTTAACTTTTTTGTGTGTGAGAATACTTATAATCTACCCTCTTAGCAAATTTCAGCTGTACACTGCAGTATTGTTACCTAGAGTTGGACAAATTATTTAATGCCATGTGCCTTAGTTTCATTTATAAAATAGGGACATTAAGAGTGAGGACTCCATAGGTCTCTGAGGATTCACTGAACTGATATACATCATAAGTTTGGAAGGCACCCGGAAGCTAGCACTGTCAGCCACATTTACAACGTAACAATTGTATGTGGCAATACAAGCTTACAGCACAGTATAAGCTTAAGCTATTTACTTACTCCAGCGCTTGCTAGGCAACAGGCACTCTGCAAATTACTGTGTACTGTCTCATTCAGTCATCCCCATTTTAACAGAACAAGGCAGTGAGGCTCAGATACAGAGGGAGATTTGTCTCCAGGGCCACCAGGCCCCTGAAGGCAGAACTAGGATTTGCACCCAAGCACTAGGACGTGAGCACAGCCTCCTTCCTCAACCACTGGGTGACTCGACCTCTCTGTGAGCTTGGGTGGGGGAGTGCGCTCTCTGGGAGGGATACAGCCAAAAAGCTCCCCAGCTCTTAGGCAGGTGTGGGGACCTCCCCAGTCTCAGCTGAGATGCTGGCTCCTGCCTTCAACATCAGACTTTCTTTTTCTCCCAGGAGTTTTTGCCAAACCCTCGCTCTCAGCCCAGCCCGGCCCGGCGGTGTCGTCAGGAGGGGACGTAACCCTACAGTGTCAGACTCGGTATGGCTTTGACCAATTTGCTCTGTACAAGGAAGGGGACCCTGCGCCCTACAAGAATCCCGAGAGATGGTACAGGGCTAGTTTTCCCATCATCACGGTGACCGCCGCCCACAGCGGAACCTACCGATGCTACAGCTTCTCCAGCAGGGACCCATACCTGTGGTCAGCCCCCAGCGACCCCCTGGAGCTTGTGGTCACAGGTAGGGGTAGTGCAGACCAAACCTTTCTTCCTCAGCCTTTATAGGTCCTGATGGCCATTCCAAGGGAGGGGCCATAAGTGGGAAGGAAGTGGGAGGGCAGGAAGCCCTGGGCTGCAGGGGCGGGGCCGTAGGTGGGAAGGAAGTGGGAGGGCAGGAAGCCCTGGGCTGCAGGGGCGGGGCCGTAGGTGGGAAGGAAGTGGGAGGGCAGGAAGCCCTGGGCTGTAGGGGCGCGGCCATAGGTGGGAAAGAAGTGGGAGGGCAGGAAGCCCTGGGCTGCAGGGGCGGCGCCAGAGGTGGGAAGGAAGTGGGAGGGCAGGAAGCCCTGGGCTGCAGGGGCGGGGCCGTAGGTGGGAAGGAAGTGGGAGGGCAGGAAGCCCTGGGCTGCAGGGGCGGGGCCGTAGGTGGGAAGGAAGTGGGAGGGCAGGAAGCCCTGGGCTGCAGGGGCGGGGCCGTAGGTGGGAAGGAAGTGGGAGGGCAGGAAGCCCTGGGCTGCAGGGGCGGGGCCGTAGGTGGGAAGGAAGTGGGAGGGCAGGAAGCCCTGGGCTGCAGGGGCGGGGCCGTAGGTGGGAAGGAAGTGGGAGGGCAGGAAGCCCTGGGCTGCAGGGGCGGGGCCAGAGGTGGGAAGGAAGTGGGAGGGCAGGAAGCCCTGGGCTACAGGCAGCTGGGAGAATGGAGGTTTCTTTTTTTTTTTTTTGACGAAGTCTCACTCTGTCACCCAGGCTGGAGTGCAGTGGCGCGATCTCAGCTCACTGCAACCTCCGCCTTCCGGGTTCAAGCGATTCTGCTGCCTCAGCCTCTCGAGTAGCTGGAATTACAGGTGCCTGCCACCATGCCCGGCCAATTTTTGTATTTTTAGTAGAGACGGGGTTTCACTATGTTGGTCAGGCTGGTCTTGAACTGACCTCATGATCTGCCCGCCTCGGCCTCCCAAAGTGCTGGGATTACAGGCGTGAGCCACCGCGTCGGACTTGACTACCATTCTTAAAGGGGGTTTCTTTCAAAAAAGAGCAGCATACCTCATAATGTGGTTATATACATGCAATGGAATATTATGCAGCCTTAAAAAAGAAGGAAATTCTGACACATACTACAACATGGATATACCTTGAGGACATTATGCTAAGTCAGTCACAAAAGGACAACTACTGTATGATTCTAGTCAAAGGAGGTATCTAATGTCAACACTGTAGAAACACAAAGTACAATGGTGGTTGTTAAGGGCCAGAAAGAGGAGAGAGAAGGAATTAGTGTTTAATGGGCACAGAATTTCAGTTTTGCAAGAAAAATAAGTTCTAGAGGTCAACATATTGTACCACAATGTGAACATACCCAACGCCACTGATCAGTACATTTAACAATGTCATATTAAATCAAACAAAATACATCATTTAGTTTTTGGTAGAAAAATCTGTTTTGCCCCCAGGGTCACAGTGAGGGGTAGGACACAGGAATCCAGAAGAAATAGAACTGAGGTTGAAAAAGGTGGACGGGAGCTGCATGCATTTCCTTGTTAATAGCCCAGAATGTGCCAGGTGTGCTTTACAAATGCTGCTGCTTTTTTTTTTTTTTTTTTTTTTGGGGGGAGTCTCACTTTGTCACCCAGGCTGGAGTGCAGTGGAGTGATCTCAGTTCACTGCAACCTCCACCTCCTGGGTTTAAGCGATTCTCCTGCCTCAGCCTCCTGAGTAGATGGGATTACAGGCACCTGCCATCATGCCCAGCTAATTTTTGTATTTTTCGTAGAGACAGGGTTTCACCATGTTGGCCAGGCTGGTCTTGAACTCTTGACCTCAGGTGATCTGCCTGCCTCGGCCTCTCAAAGTGCTGGGATTACAGGTGTGAGCCACCACGCCTGGCTAAGCCTTTTTTTTTCAGATGGAGTCTTACTGCGTCACCCAGGCTGGAGTGCAGTGGTGCGATCTCAGATCACTGCAACCTCTGCCTCCTAGGTTCAAGTGATTCTCCTGCCTCAGCCTCCCGAGCAGCTGGGATTACAGGTGCACACCACCACGCCTGGCTAATTTTTGTATTTTTAGTGGAGACGGGGTTTCACCATACTGGCCAGGCTGGGCTTGAACTCCTGACCTCAAGTGATCTGCCCTCCTCAGCCTCCCAAAGTGCTGGGATTACAGGCATGAGGCACTGCACCCAGCTCAAATGCTTATTAACATCCACAACAGTCCAGTGATGTAAGCTACTTTAGGCTCATTTTTCCGGTGAGGAAACTCAGTCACGGAGATGTTTCGTTATTTGTTCAGGACCCACAGCGACAGAGCACAGATTTATCTCATTTTCTGATTTCCCAGGAACCTCTGTGACCCCCAGCCGGTTACCAACAGAACCACCTTCCCCGGTAGCAGGTAGGTTCTGCAGGGTCCATTCTGGTGCACAGCGTATGAGGTACACGGACCCCTTCTCTCTCTCCTCTCTGCCTAGACTTCTCGATTTAATTCAGTTGGTTCTTTCACAGATTTGCTTTGTTTTAAAAATCCTTTATTTCTGCCTGTAAACAGGGTGGGTGTCCTAAGTAGTTAGATGTTAAGATGCTGCCCCCAATCCTACTCTAGGTGGATGGTTTATCACATATAACATGCAGAAGAATAATCGGAGTGGCTTGCTATACTGTGGAGTCCAGCTGGTTGAATATGGGTGACAAAAACAAACAAACTAACCAACCAACCAACCAACCAACCAACCAACAAACCTGTAGAGTCCGGGACTCTGTTTCTGAGTCACTGAATGCATTGATCAGCGGTTCTCAAACTTCCATGAGCATAAGAATCACCTGGAGGCTTAAAGAATAGATTTCTGAGCCCCCAGGGCTTCTGCTTCAGTAGGTCTGGGGTGAATCCAGTCATTTTCATTCCTAGTAAGTTCCCAGGTGATGCTGATGCTATGGCTCCAGAATGCTGCTTTGAGAACCACTGCGGTAAGTTTTGTGTGAGGCGTGTTATCCCCTCCACTTTCACAAACATCTCAGCTGAATACGGTGTACCAGACTACGGCCTGCACTTTAAGAATATCATACGCTAGGCTGGAGGCTGGGCGTGTCTAACATTCCCTGTGTCTCAGAGTGAAGCACCAAGGCAGGAGAAACATGCTGGAAAGAGCCGAGGTTGATAAGGATGAGATTTGCGGGGTTGAGGGCAGAGTGAGGGCTATTATGCCTAGTGGGCAGGGACATGGAAGATGGTCACATACTGTGTGCGTGCATATGTGTGTGTGCGTGCATGTGCGTGTGTGCGTGCATATGTGTGTGTGCGTGCATATGTGTGTGCATGCGTGCATATGTGTGTGTGTGCATGCGTGCATATGTGTGCGTGTGCTTCTGACTGAATTTTTGAACTTTCTCTTTTGAAATGGTTCTAGAGTCACAGGAAGTCTACAATGATAGAACAGAAGAATCCCATGTGCTCTTTTTCCAGTTTCCTCTAATGGTTACATCTTACGTAATTAGAGTACAACATAAAAACCAGGAATTTGACATTGGCATAAAGTAGGTGTCTAGTTCTATGCCAATTTGTCACAGTTGTAGATTCGCGTCACCATCACCGCAGTCACTGTACAGAACTCTTCCGTCTCACAAGGGCCTCCCTTGGGCTACCCTTTTATATTCACACCTACACCCTTCTCCTTCCCTTGCCATCCCTAACTCCTGGTATCCATTAATTTGTTCTCCATCTCTATAATCTTCCATTTCTAGAATCTGATGTAAATGGGATCATCCAGTATGCAACCGTTTGAGATATCCTTTTGTCACTCAGTGCAATGCCCCTGAGGCCCATCCAAGCTGCTGTATGTATCAATGATGTGTTCCTTTTGATTGCTGAGCAATATTTCATGCTATATTAGGCCGATTTTGTGCTGCTATAAATATCTGAGACTGGATCATTGATAAGAAAAGAGGTTTAATTGGTTCATGGTTCTGAAGGCCGTATAGGAAGCAGAAGGCTGGCTTCTGCTTTTGGGGAGGCCTCAGGAAGCTTACAGTCATGGCAGAAGGCAAAGAGGGGGTAGCTGTCTCATGTGGTGGGAGCAGGAGCAAGAGAGAGAGAGAGTTGGGACTGGGGGACATGCCACACTTTGCAATAGCCAGATCTTGTGAGAATTCACTTACTATTGCAAGGAAAGCACCAAGCAATGAGGGATCCACCCCTATGATCCAAACACCTCCCACCAGGCCCCCACCTCCAACATTGGGGATCATAATCCAGTATGAGATTTGGTGGGAACACATATTCAAACTGTATCACATGGCATGCAAATACCACACGCTGTGTTGAAATCAAAATCAAAACAAGGTGTATTAAATAGGGAATCCTTTCCCCATTGCTTGTTTTTGTCAGGTTTGTTGAAGATCAGATGGTTGTAGATGTGTGGTCTTATTTCTGAGATCTCTATTCTGTTCCATTGGTCTATGTGTCTGTTTTTGTACCAGTACCATGCTGTTTTGGTTACTATCACCTTGTAATATAGTCTGAAGTCTGAGCCTGAGGCCTCCAGCTTTGTTCTTTTTGCTTAGTATTGTCTTGGCTATATGGGCCCTTTTTTGGTTCCATATGAATTTTATAGTTTTTTCTAATTGTGTGAGGAATGTCAATGATAGTTCAATGGGAATAGCAATGAATCTATAAATTACTTTGGGCAGTATGGCCATTTTCACGATATTGATTCATCCTATCCATGAGCATGGAATGTTTTTCCATTTGTTTGTGTCCGCTCTGATTTTCTTGAGCAGTGAATTGTAGTTCTCCTTGAAGATGTCCTTCACTTTCCTTGTTAGCTGTATTCCTAGGTATTTTATTCTCTTTGTAGCAATTGTGAATGGGAGTTCCTTCATGATTTGGCTCTCTGCCTGTCTATTGTTGGTGTATAGGAATGCTTGTGATTTTTGCACATTGATTTTGTATCCTGAGACTTTGCTGAAGTTGCTTATCAGCTTAAGAAACTTTTGGGCTGAGATGATGGGGTTTTCTAGATATAGGATCATGTCATCTGCAAACAGAGATAGTTTGATTTCCTCTCTTCCTATTTGAGTATCCTTTATTTCTTTCTCTTGCCTGATTATCCTGGCCAGAACTTCCAATACTATGTTGAATAGGAGTGGTGAAAGAGGGCATCCTTGTCTTGTGCTGGTTTTCAAGGGAAATGCCCATTTAGTATGAAATTGGCTGTGGGTTAATAAATGGTGCTGGGAGAATTGGCTAGCCATATGCAGAAAATAGAAACTGGACCCGTTCCTTACACCTTGTACAAAAATTAACTCAAGATGGATGAAAGACTTGGATGCAAAACCCGAAAACTATAAAAACCCTAGAAGAAAATCTAGGTAATACCATTCAGGACACAGGCATGGGCAAAGATTTCATGACAAAAACGTCAAAAGCAATTGTAACAAAAGCAAAAACTGACAAATGGGATCTAACTAAACTAAAGAGCTTCTGCTCAGCAAAAGAAAGTATCATCAGAGTGAACAGACAACCTACAGAATGGGAGAAAATGTTTGCAATCTATCAATTCACAAAAGTCTAATATCCAGAATCTACAAGGAAGTTAAACAAATTTACAAGAAAAAAAAAACCATTAAAAAGTGGGTAAAGGACATGAACAGTCACTTCTCAAAAGAAGACGTTTATGCAGCCAGTAAACATACAAAAAAAAGCTCAACATCACCAATCATTAGAGAAATGCAAATCAAAACCACATTTAGACACCATCTCACACCAGTCAAAATGGCGATTATTAAAAAGTCAAGAAACGCCGGGCACGGTGGCTCACGCCGGTAATCCCAGCACTTTGGGAGGCCGAGGCAGGCAGATCACAAGGTCAGGAGATCGAGACCATCCTGGCTAACACGGTGAAACCCCGTCTCTATTAAAAATACAAAAAATTAGCCGGGCGTGGTGGCGGGCGCCTGTAGTCCCAGCTATTCGGGAGGCTGAGGCAGGAGAATGGCGTGAACCCGGGAGGCGGAGGTTGCAGTGAGCCAAGATTGTGCCACTGCACTCCAGCCTGGGCGACAGAGCAAGACTCCATCTCAAAAAAAAAAAAAAAAAACCAACAAAAGTCAAGAAACAACAGGTGCTGGCGAGGCTGTGGAGAAATAGGAATGCTTTTACACTGTTGGGAATGTAAATTAGTTCATTGTGGAAGACAGTGTGGTGATTCCTCAAAGACCCAGAACCAGAAATCCTTTTTCCTTTTTTTTTTTTTTGAGATGTAGTATTGCTCAATAGCCCATGCTGGAGTGCAGTGGTGCGATCTCGGCTCACTGCAACCTCCACCTCCCAGGTTCAAGCAATTATCCTGTCTCAGCCTCCTAAGTAACTGGGACTACAGGCGCCTGCCACCATGCCTGGCTTTTTTTTTTTTTTTTCTTTTAGTAGAGATGGGGTTTTACCTTGTTGGTCATGCTGGTCTCAAACTTCTGACCTCAGGTGATCCACCTGCCTCGGCCTCCCAAAGTGCTGGGATTACAGGCGTGAGCCACCGCACCAGGGCCACCTTTTTTTTTTTTTTTTTTTTTTAAACAGAGTCTCACTCTGTCACCCAGGCTGGATTGCAGGGGCATGATCTCGGCTCACTGCAGCCTCTGCCTCCAGGGTTCAAGTGATTCTCCTGCCTCAGCCTCCCGAGTAGCTGGGACTGCAGGTGCATGCCACAACGCCTGGCTAATTTTTGGATTTTTGCTAGAGACGGGAGTTTCACCATGTTGGCCAGGGTGGTCTTGAGCTCCTGACCTCAGGTGATCTGCCCACCTCGGCCTCCCAAAGTGCTGGGATTACATGTGTGAGCCACTGCGCCTGGCCAGAAATACCATTTGACCCAGCAATCCCATTACTGGTTATATACCCAAAGGAATATAAATCATTGTATTATAAAGATACATGCACACATATGTTCATTGCAGCACTATTCACAATAGCAAAGACAAGGAATCAACCCAAATGCCCATCAATGATAGAAAGGATAAAGCAAATACAGTACATATACACCATGGAATACTATGCAGCCATAAAAAGGAATGAGATCATGTCCTTTGCAGGGACATGGATGGAGCTGGAAAACATTATCCTCAGCAAACTAACACAGGAACTGAAAACCAAACACTGCATGTTCTCACTTGTAAGTGGCAGCTGAACAATGAGATCACATGGACACAGGGAGGGGAACACCACACACTGGGGCCTGTAGGGGGAATTGGGGGAGGGAGAGGATCAGGATAAATAGCTGATGCGTGTGGGGCTTAATACCTAGGTGATGGGTTGATGGGTGCAGCAAACCACCATGGCACACGTTTACCTATGTAACAAACCTGCACGTCCTGCACATGGATTCTGGAACTGAAATTTTAATTGAAAAAAAAAAAAAAGGTTTATTAATGCATCTCACACGAAGAGAAATAACAAAGACCAAATAATACCCACACTCTCATTATGCCACCGAGAGCTGAGCATAAACTAGTTTTTTCCAAGCTGGTTCCACCATAAAAAGACTCCCAGGATAGTACCCACTGCAACAAGAGCTTCGTATTTATCAGCTGAGGCAGTTCAGGAATATTTTGGTGGCCTCAGGAGGCCCCTGGTTAAGAAAATGGCCTGGCCGGGCGCGGTGGCTCACGCCTGTATTCCCAGCACTTTGGGAGGCTGAGGCGGGTGGATCACAAGGTCAGGAGATCGAGACCATCCTGGCTAACACGGTGAAACCCCATCTCTACTGAAAATACAAAAAAATTAGCCAGGCGTGGTGGCGGGTGCCTGTAGTCCCAGCTACTCGGGAGGCTGAGGCAGGATAATGGTGTGAACCCGGGAGGCAGAGCTTGCAGTGAGCCGAGATTGCACCACTGCACTCCAGCCTGGACGACAGAGTAAGACTCTGTCTCAAAAAAAAAAAAAAAAAGAAAAAAAGAAAATGGCCTAAGTTGGAAGGTGGAGATCCCGTGTTCTGAGGCTAACACGAGCTCATTCTTCCTCTAGGCTCACGAAGACATGGATCCACATCTTATTATTCAAACTGAGATATAATTCACATACCATAAAATTCACCATGCCAACTAGGATGACTATGATTTTTAAAACAAAACAAACGGACAAGAAGTATTGGTGAGGATTTGGAAGAACCTTCTTATATTGCTGGTGGGAATATAAAATGGTGCAGCTGCTTTGAAAAACAGTCTGTGGCCAGGCGCAGCCTGTAATCCCAGCACTTTGAGAGGCCAAGGAGGGTGGATCACGAGGTCAGGAGATCGAGACCATCCTGGCCAACATGGTGAAACCCCGCCTCTACTAAAGTACAAAAAAAAAAGTTGGCCAGGCGTGATGGCAGGTGCCTGTAATCCCAGCTACTCGGGAGGCTGAGGGAGGAGAATCGCTTGAACCCAGGAGGTGGAGGTTGCAGTGAGCTGAGATCGCGCCACTGCACTCCAGCCTGGGCAACAGAATGAGACTCTGTCTCAAAAAAAAAAAAAAAAGAAAAAAAAGAAAGAAGTCTGGTAGTTCTTCAAAAAGTAAAACACAGAGTTACTGTATGACCCAGTGATTCCACCACCCCTGGGTGTGTACCCAAGAGAACAGAAAACTTATGTTCACACAAAAACCTGTACGTCAATGTTCACAGCAGCAATATTCATAACAGCAAAACGTGGAAAAAAAACCAAGTGTCTATCAATTGCTGAACGGATCTGCTTCTTACTAAGCCGGTCATGGAAGATAAGTCTTACACCTTTCGAATTTGTCTGTCTTCAGTGTCTGTGCAGTGTGTCAGAGAAAGGGGTTTCAGGGAGCCTAGATATCTCAAAAGGGGAATGGAGATATCTAGAGGATATAGGGAACCACGGGGAAGACCTAACATTGTTTTGCTTTCTTAGAATTCTCAGAAGCCACCGCTGAACTGACCGTCTCATTCACAAACGAAGTCTTCACAACTGGTGAGTAACCAGGCATTTCATGCTCAGCAGAAAGGAGTGTGAGGACGGAGCTCTCTCTTCCATTATCTAAGCCTGTAGGCTTTTAATCACTTCACCGAACTGTCCGTCTCTTACCAAGAAAGTCCTTGGTGTGAGGCTAGAGCATGGGTGCAGAGTGGAGCTCTGGGGTTCAGAAGGAGGAGCGTTTTGGGTGATGGGGCCATTTCAAAGATGGCGGAGCCAAGGCTGTGGCGGGACGACCGCCATCCCTACGCACTGCTCCCAGGATGAAGTCCTAGGCTTTGGACTCGGCTGTGATCCAGGTATTTAATCTCGCTCCTCACTGTGTCCAGGTAGAGCCCATGCTCGGACGCACACAGACTGTAGGCACCTGGACACAGCACATCTTCTAACCGCTCCAGGCCTCTGCAGATACGCTTTCCTCAGTCTCTTTCCCCTTGCCTGTCCTGGAAAATCTCCATTTCCTTCCAGACTAAACACCTTCACAGATTCCCTGATAATAGGTTAGATACTTCCACTGGGCCCACATGACTCTGGCTTTCATGAGGCACCTGATCCCACGTAGTTCTATTTTTTATTTTTTTGAGGTGGAGTCTTGCTCTGTCGCCCAGGCTGGAGTGCAGTGGTGCGATCTCGGCTCACTGTAACCTCTGCTGCCCGGGTTCAAGCGATTCTCCTGCCTCAGCCTCCCGAGTAGCTGGGATTATAGGTGCATGCCACCACACCTGGCTAATTTTTGTATTTTAGTAGAGACGGGGTTTCAGCATCTTGGGAAGGCTGGTCTTGAACTCCTGACCTCATGATCCACCTGTCTCGGCCTCCCAAAGTGCTGGGATTGGAGGCATGAGCCACCGCGCCCGGCATATCCCAGGGAGTTCTGTGATGGAAGCCTTCCCTATCTTCAGTTCGGAACCTCCCAATCACCCTCAGGATGCAGTTCCAATTCCTCAGCTTGCTATTCTGTGAGCTTAGATATCCAGCCCCTGTTGATCCCTCCAATTTTGTCTGCATACCTTCCACGCATTCCCATGCTGTTCTCAGCCACACACAGTCACTTGAAGCTCTCCTGGAGGCTTCCTAACCTCTCCTGACTCTGCACCCAACCCACTCACTCTGCCTTTTCTTCCATTTCCCCATGGCATCAATTCCTCAAGAAAGCCTTGACCGTCCAGGCTGGATCGATGGTTTCCTCTGCTCTCGCTCAGTGTCTTGTGGGCTGCCTATTACAGCAATTTTTACAGTATATTAAAATTATCGCTTTGTCTGTAATCCCAGCACTTTGGGAGGCCAAGGTGAGTGGATCACCTGAGGTCAGGAGACCAGCCTGGCCAACATGCTGAAACCCCGTCTCTACTGAAAATACAAAAATTAGCCGGGCGTGGTGGTGGGCACCTGTAATTCCAGCTACTTGGGAGGCTGAGGCAGGAGAATCGCTTGAACTCACGAGTTGGAGGTTGCAGTGACCTGAGATCACACCACAGCACTCCAGCCTGGGCAACAGAGTGAGACTCCGTATTAAAAAAAAAAAAAAATCGCTTTACTTTTTGGTCTCCTGCAATAGTCTGGGAACCGCAGATGGACAATGTCTTATGGTTTTTTTGTTTTTTGTTGTTGTTTTTGAGACGGAGTCTCACTCTGCTCACTCTGTGATCTGTGATTTCGGCTCACTCTGCGATCTCAGCTCACTGCAATCTCCGGCTCCTGAGTAGCTGGGACTACAGGTGTGTGCCACCATGCCCAGCTATTTTTTGTATTTTTAGTAAAGACGGGGTTTCACCATGTTGGCCAGGATGGTCTCGATCTCTTGACCTCAGGTGATCCGCCCACCTTGGCCTCCCAAAGTGCTGGGATTACAGGCATTCAGCCAGTGTCATGCCTGGCCTGACAATGTCTTATTAATATTTGGGTTCCCATGGCCCAGCACATGGCTGAGTACCTGGCGAGTCTCAGGAGATACTTGAGGAATAAGAGAGCTGGAGGCCGGGTGCAGTGGCTCACGCCTGTAATCCCAGCACTTTGGGAGGCCTAGGCGGGCGGATCACAAGGTCAGGAGTTCAAAACCAACCTGGCCAATATGGTGAAATCCCATCTCTACTAAAAATACAAAACTTAGCTGGGCGTGGTGGCGGACGCCTGTAGTCCCAGCTACTCGGGAGGCTGAGGCAGGAGAATCGCTTGAGCCCAGGAGGCGGAGGTTGAAGTGAGCCGACATCGGGCCACTGCACTCCAGCCTGGGAGACAGAGCCAGACTCTGTCTCAAAAAAAAAAAAAAAAAAGCTGGCACGTATGAGGTGCTCATATGTCAAGCACGGTGCTTTATATTTCTACCATTATTATTATCTTGACTTTCACATCAACCTATAAGGGATCTTGTTAATTTTATTGGACACATGGGGAACTGGCTCACAGATGCTGAGTCACTTGCCAGATAACTGACATCTAATAGGTGATAGAGTTGGGGTTCAAATCTGGAGGACAGCCTGACTCTACAGTTCTTGCTTTTTTTTTTTTGGACAGGGTCTCGCTCTGTTTCCCAGGCTAGAGTGCAGTGGTACAATCCTGGCTCACTGCAGCCTCAACCTCCCAGGGCTCAGGTGATCTTCCTGCCTCAGCCTCCACTGAGTAGCTGGGATTACTGGCACGTGCCACCACGCCTGGCTAATTTTTGTATTTTTTTGTAGAGATAGGGTTTTTCTATGTTGCTCAGGTTGGTCTTGAACTCCTGGACTCAAGCCAGCCTCCTACCTCAGCCTCCCAAAGTGCTGGGATTATAGGCATGAGGCACCGTGCCCGGCCCATGCTTTTCTTAAATGCTGTGGAATTGTGCCTCCCCATGTGTGTGTGTGTTCGGAGTAGGCACAGTGACAGGGGGCGGGAATATGGTTTCATTTCACACTTAGCCTTTGTTTGGTTCCCAGAGACTTCTAGGAGTATCACCGCCAGTCCAAAGGAGTCAGACTCTCCAGCTGGTGAGTAAGTCATCCTCTCCAGACCCCCTTCCTTCTCACCCGTCTCTTCACCAAAGCCAACTCCTTTGTCTACGCAGGGGCTGCAGCTCTCAGATCTTGGGTTCCAGTGTGTAGAGTAAAGGCAGAATATCAGCGTATGGGGTTCAGAATTGGGCATTAAGATCAGGTGGGAAGGTTGAGATTTTAAAAAGGGTCAGAGAAAGAGAGATTCCATCTCTTCCCCACCCCTTATAACTGTCCTCTCTTTTGCAATGCATCAGATAACGAGGCAGCATCTGTGTCTGGGGAGGAGTTGTCTCAGAGCCCTGTGAGAGCACAGGAGGGAGAGGTGCTACTTAGAGAATTGGGGTCATCTGGCCCTGACCCCTACTCGGGAAGGGAGGGACCCTCCAGGAAAGTGAGCGGCATCCCCTAGCTAGTAGAGAATAATAGGATCTCTGAGAAGCCCAGATGTGGCTTGGAGGGGGTCCTGGAGGTGGGCTCTTTCACCTGCTCCTGCCTCTCCTCATTCCTCCAGGTCCTGCCCGCCAGTACTACACCAAGGGCAACCTGGTCCGGATATGCCTCGGGGCTGTGATCCTAATAATCCTGGCGGGGTTTCTGGCAGAGGACTGGCACAGCCGGAGGAAGCGCCTGCGGCACAGGGGCAGGGCTGTGCAGAGGCCGCTTCCGCCCCTCCCGCCCCTCCCGCTGACCCGGAAATCAAACGGGGGTCAGGATGGAGGCCGACAGGATGTTCACAGCCGCGGGTTATGTTCATGACCGCTGAACCCCAGGCACGGTCGTATCCAAGGGAGGGATCATGGCATGGGAGGCGACTCAAAGACTGGCGTGTGTGGAGCGTGGAAGCAGGAGGGCAGAGGCTACAGCTGTGGAAACGAGGCCATGCTGCCTCCTCCTGGTGTTCCATCAGGGAGCCGTTCGGCCAGTGTCTGTCTGTCTGTCTGCCTCTCTGTCTGAGGGCACCCTCCATTTGGGATGGAAGGAATCTGTGGAGACCCCATCCTCCTCCCTGCACACTGTGGATGACATGGTACCCTGGCTGGACCACATACTGGCCTCTTTCTTCAACCTCTCTAATATGGGCTCCAGACGGATCTCTAAGGTTCCCAGCTCTCAGGGTTGACTCTGTTCCATCCTCTGTGCAAAATCCTCCCGTGCTTCCCTTTGGCCCTCTGTGCTCTTGTCTGGTTTTCCCCAGAAACTCTCACCCTCACTCCATCTCCCACTGCGGTCTAACAAATCTCCTTTCGTCTCTCAGAACGGGTCTTGCAGGCAGTTTGGGTATGTCATTCATTTTCCTTAGTGTAAAACTAGCACGTTGCCCGCTTCCCTTCACATTAGAAAACAAGATCAGCCTGTGCAACATGGTGAAACCTCATCTCTACCAACAAAACAAAAAAACACAAAAATTAGCCAGGTGTGGTGGTGCATCCCTATACTCCCAGCAACTCAGGGGGCTGAGGTGGGAGAATGGCTTGAGCCTGGGAGGCAGAGGTTGCAGTGAGCTGAGATCACACCACTGCACTCTAGCTCGGGTGACGAAGCCTGACTTTGTCTCAAAAAATACAGGGATGAATATGTCAATTACCCTGATTTGATCATAGCACGTTGTATACATGTACTGCAATATTGCTGTCCACCCCATAAATATGTACAATTCTGTATACATTTTTAAAATCATAAAAATAAGATAATGCACCGTCTCCACCCCTCTCATATTTACTTTCTGAAGGAAATGTTAGGTCTTCTCAAGGTAAAGTTCTATATTTATTATAGCGTTTAGGCATTTCTTGACCATCTAATGAGTGTAAAACTGTACCACTGGGCCAAGTGCAGTGGATCATGTCTGTAATCCTAGCACTGTGGGAGGCCAAGGCAGGAGGATCGCTTGAGCCCAGGAGTTCAAGACCAGCCTGGGCAACATAGTGAGACCCCATCTCTACTTAAAATAAAGAAGATAAAAATTGTTTTAAAAAAGGAAAAGAATGGCTGGCCACAGTGGCTCACGCCTGTAATCCCGGCACTTTGGGAGGTTGAGGTAGGTGAGTCACTTGGGAAAAGACAGAAGGATGGCACCAAGAAGTTCCAGGACGACGGCTGTGAATCAGGGCTAGTGAGCACACAGCTTGGGTGAAGGGGGAATGGGAAAGTTGCTTAGAGAAGCCTCCAAATGTAAGAATGGGTCAATTCCTCGTCTTAACATAGTGGAAAATCATACTGAGATGCTATCAGAAGACAGAGGAAAAATAATTTTAGAGGTCAAGTAAACTAAGTAGATTTTAAAAAGACCAGTATAGCCTAGGCACAGTGGCTCACACCTGTAATCCCAGCACTTTGGGAGGCTGAGGCGGGATCGCTTGAGCCTAAGAGTTCGAGACCAGCCTGGGCAACATGGTGAAACCTTGTCTCATATACAAAAAATATAAAAAATTAGCTGGGTGTGGTACCACATGCCTACTCTCAGGTACTCAGGAGGCTGAGGTTGGGGATCACCTGAGCCCGGGGAGGTTGAGGCTGCAGTGAGCCATGATTGCACCACTGCTGTCAAACCTGGGTGACAGAGTGAGACCCTGCCTCAAAAGAAAATAAAAATAAAAAACAAATATAAACTTTAGGGGAACAATAACAACAACAAAAATAAAAGAAGCAAGTTATATTACCCGAAAATTCTCGGCTGCGAATATCTGTGGGTATAAACATGTGATACTGGCCGGGCGTGGTGGCTCATGCCTGTAATCCCAGCACTTCGGGAGGCTGAGGTGGGCAGATCACGAGGTCAGGAGATCGAGACCAGCTCAGCCAACATGGTGAAACCCTGTCTCTACTAAAAATACAAAAATTAGCCAGTCGTGGTGGCACACGCCTGTAGTCCCAGCTACTCAGGAGACTGAGGCTGCAGTGAGCTGAGATTGCGCCACTGCACTCCAGCCTGGGTGACAGAGTGAGACTCTGTCTCAAAAAAAAAAAATGTGATACTGAATGTTGATATGCAGACATAGAGATAAACATTGGAAGAGAAAAAACAGTAAGAACAACGCTGTAGAATAACTAAGGCCCCGCCTATTATGATAGGAATCCAGTAAGTCTAAGCTCATTCACATGGTTACATGTTTTTAGAAACCTAATATTAACAAGTTCCTAAAGAAAACAGCTAAAAGTGGGTGTCTCTTAGGCGGAGCAATGGAGGAGATGGTTAGTCAGCCACTGCATTTTGTACACACCCTTTTAGTGCTATTGGAATTTTTTAGGTAGGTGCTGTCAGGCCTCTGAGCCCAAGCTAAGCCATCATATCCCCTGTGACCTGCACGTACACATCCATATGGCTGGTTCCTGCCTTAACTGATGACATTCCACCACAAAAGAAGTGAAAATGGCCTGTTACTGCCTTAACTGATGACATTGTCTTGTGAAATTCCTTCTCCTGGCTCATCCTGGCTCAAAAGCTCCCCTACAGAGCACCTTGTGACCCCCACTCTGCCCGCCAGAGAACAACCCCGCTTTGACTGTAATTTTCCTTTACCTACCCAAATCCTATAAAACGGCCCCACCCCATCCCCCTTCGCTGACTCTCTTGTCGGACTCAGCCCACCTGCACCCAGGTGATTAAAAGCTTTATTGCTCACACAAAGCCTGTTTGGTGGTCTCTTCACATGGACGCACATGAAATTTGGTGCCGTGACTTGGATCGGGGGACCTCCCTTGGGAGATCAATCCCCTGTCTTGCTCTTTGCTCTGTGAAAAAGATCCACCTACGACCTCAGGTCCTCAGACCCACCAGCCCAAGGAACATCTCACCAAGTTTAAATTGGGTAAGCGACCTCTTCTTACTCTCTTCTCCAACCTCTCTCACTGTCCCTCAACCACTTTCTCCTTTCCACTCTTCAATCTCTCCCTTCTCTTAATTTCAATTCCTTTCATTTTCTGGTAGAGACAAAGGAGACACGTTTTATCTGTGGACCCAAAACTCCGGCGCCGGTCACGGACTAGGGAAGGCAGCCTTCCCTTGGCGTTTAATCATTGCAGGGACGCCTCTCTGATTATATACCCACGCTTCAGAGGTGTCAGATCACGCAGGGATGCCTGCCTTGGTCCTTCACCCTTAGTGGCAAGTCCCACTTTTCTGGGGAAGGGGCAAGTTCCCCAACCCCTCCTCTCCATGTCTCTACCCCTTCTCCACCTTTCTGGGGGGCAAGAAACCCCCAACCCCTTCTCCTTCACTCTTAGCGGCAAGTCCCGCTTTTCTAGAGGGGCAAGTACCCCAACCTCGTATCTCTGCACCCTGATCCCTTATTTCCATGCCCCAACCTCTTATCTCTGTGCCCCAACCCCTTATATCCATGCCCCAACCCCTTTCCCGCTTTTCTGGAAGGTAAGAACTCCCGAACCCCTTCCCTCCGTGTCTCTACTCTCTCTTTTCTCTAGGCTTGCCTCCTTCACTATGGGCAACCTTCCACCCTCCATTCCTCCTCCTTCTCTCCCTTGGCCTGTGTTCTCAAAAACTTAAAACCTCTTCAACTCACACCTGACCTAAAACCTAAATGCCTTATTTTCTTCTGCAATGCCGCTTGACCCCAATACAAACTGGACAGCAGTTCCAAATAGCCAGAAAACAGCACTTTCAATTTTTCCATCCTGCAAGATCTAAATAATTCTTGTCGTAAAATGGGCAAACGGTCTGAGGTGCCTGACGTCCAGGCATTCTTTTACACATCAGTCCCTTCCTAGTCTCTGTGCCCAGTGCAACTCGTCCCAAATCTTCCTTCTTTCCCTCCTGCCTGTCCCCTCAGTCTCAACCCCAAGCGTCGCTGAGTCTTTCTAATCTTCCTTTTCTACAGACCCGTCTGACCTCTCCCTCCTCCCCAGGCTGAGCTAGGTCCCAATTCTTCCTCAGCCTCCGCTCCTCCACCGTATTATCTTTTTATCACCTCCCCTCCCCACACCTGGTCCAGCTTACAGTTTCGTTCAGTGACTAGCCCTCTTCCACCTGCCCAGCAATTTACTCTTAGAAAGGTGGCTGGAGCTAAAGGCATAGTCAAGGTTAATGCTCCTTTTTCTTTATCCCAAATCAGATAGTGTTTAGGCTCTTTTTCATCAAATATAAAAATCCAGCCCAATTCATGGCTCGTTCGCCAGCAACCCTGAGAAGCTTTACAGCCCTAGACCCTTAAAAGTCAAAAGGCCGTCTTATTCTTAATACACATTTTATTACCCAATCTGCTCCCGACATTAAATAAAACTCCAAAAATTAAATTCCGGCCCTCAAACCCCACAACAGGATTTAATTAACCTCGCCTTCAAGGTGTACAATAATAGAAAAAAGTTGCAATTCCTTGCCTCCACTGTGAGACAAACCCCAGCCACATCTCCAGCACACAAGAAGGGAACTGAACCGCAGCGGCCAGGCGTTCCTCCAGAACCTCCTCCCCCAGGAGCTTGCTACAAGTGCCAGAAATCTGACCACCAGGCCAAGGAATGCCTGCAGCCCAGGATTCCTCCTAAGCCGTGTCCCATCTGTGCGGGACCCCACTGGAAATCGGACTGTTCAACTCACCTGGCAGCCACTCCCAGAGCCCCTGGAACTCTGGCCCAAGGCTCTCTGACTCCTTCTCGGCTTAGCGGCTGAAGACTGATGCTGCCCAATCGCCTCGGAAGCTCTGTAGACCATCACGGATGCCGAGCTTCGGGTAACACTCACGGTGGAAGGTAAGTCCGTCGCCTTAGTCAATACGGAGGCTACCCACTCCACATTACCTTCTTTTCAAGGGCCTGTTTCTCTTGCCTCCATAACTGTTGTGGGTATTGACGGCCAGGCTTCTAAACCCCTGAAAACTCCCCCACTCTGGTGCCAACTTGGACAACACTCTTTTATGCACTCTTTTTTAGTTATCCCCACCTGCCCAGTTCCCTTATTAGGCCGAGATATTTTAACCAAATTATCTGCTTCCCTGACTATTCCTGGACTACAGCCGCATCTCATTGCCACCCTTCTCCTCAACCCAAAGCCTCCTTCGCGTCTTCCTCTCCTATTCCCCCACCTTAACCCACAAGTATGGGACATCTCTACTCCTTCCCTGGCAACTGATCACATACCCGTTACCATCCCATTAAAACCTAATCACCCTTACCCTGCTCAATGCCAATATCCCATCCCACAGCACACTTTAAAAGGATTAAAGCCTGTTATCACTCGCCTGCTATAGCATGGGCTTCTAAAACCTATAAACTCTCCTTACAATTCCCCCATTTTACCTGTCCAAAAACCGGAAAAGTCTTACAGATTAGTTCAGGATCTGCGCCTTATCAAATTGTTTTGCCTATGCACCCTGTGGTGCCCAACCCCTACACTCTTTTGTCCTCAATACCTTCCTCCACAACTCACTATTCCATGCTTGATCTTAAAGATGCTTTTTTCACTATTCCCCTGCACCCCTCGTCCCAGCCTCTCTTCGCTTTCACTTGGACTGACCCTGACACCCATTAGGCTCAGCAAATTACCTGGGCTGTACTGCTGCAAGGTTTCACAGACAGCCCCCATTACTTCAGTCAAGCCCAAAGTTCATCCTCATCTGTTACCTATCTCGGCATAATTCTCATAAAAACACACGTGCTCTCCCTGCTGATCGTGTCTGACTGATCTCTCAAGCCCCAGCACCTTCTACAAAACAACAACTCCTTTCCTTCCTAGGCATGGTTAGCGCGGTCAGAACTCTTACACAAGAGCCAGGACCACACCCTGTAGCCTTTCTGTCCAAACAACTTGACCTTACTGTTTTAGCCTAGCCCTCATATCTGCGTGCTGTGGCTGCCGCTGCTTTAATACTTTTAGAGGCCCTCAAAATCACAAACTATGCTCAACTCACTCTCTACAGCTCTCATAATTTCCAAAATCTATTTTCTTACTCACACCTGATGCATATACTTTCTGCTCCCTGGCTCCTTCAGCTGTACTCACTCTTTGTTAAGTCCCACAATTACCATTGTTCCTGGCCCGGACTTCAATCTGGCCTCCCACATTATTCCAGATACCACACCTGACCCCCATGACTGCATCTCTCTGATCCACCTGACGTTCACCCCATTTCCCCACATTTCCTTCTTCCCTGTTTCTCACCCTGATCACACTTAGTTTATTGATGGCGGTTCCACCAGGCCTAATCGCCACACACCAGCAAAGGCAGGCTATGCTATGGTACAAGCCACTAGCCAGCCTCTTAGAACCTCTCATTTCCTTTCCATTGTGGAAATCTATCCTCAAAGAAATCACTTCTCAGTGTTGCATCAGCTATTCTACTACTCCTCATGGATTATTCAGGCCCCCTCCCTTCCCTACACATCAAGCTCAAGGATTTGCCCCCGCCCAGGACTGGCAAATTAGCTTTACTCAACATGCCCCGAGTAAGATAACTAAAATACCTCTTAGTCTAGGTAGACACTTTCACTGGGTAAGTACAGTCCTTTCCTACAGGGTCTGAGAAGGCCACCGCAGTCATTTCTTCCCTTCTGTCAGACATAATTCTTCAGTTTAGCCTTGTCATTCCCTTCTGTCAGACAAAATTCCTCAGTTCAGCCTTCCCACCTCTATACAGTCTGCTAACAGACCAGCCTTTATTAGTCAAATCAGCCAAGCATTTTTTCAGGCTCTTAGTATTCAGTGACAGACTAATGGTCTATTAAAAACACACCTCACCAAGCTCAGCCACCAACTTAAAAAGGACTGGACAATACTTTTACCATTTTCGCTTCCAGAATTCAGGCCTGTCCTTGGAATGCTACAAGATACAGCCCATTTAAGCTCCTGTGTAGACACTCCTTTTTATTAGGCCCCAGTCTCATTCCAGACACCAGACCAACTTAGATTGTGCCCCAAAAAACTTGTCATCCCTACTATCTTCTGTCTAGTCATACTCCTATTCACCGTTCTCAACTACTCACACATGCCCTGCTCTTGTTTACACTGCCAGTTTACACTGTTTCTCCAAGCCAGCACAGCTGGTATCTCCTGGTACTATCCCCATACCGCCACTGTTAACTCTTAAAATAAATAAATAATCTTTGCTGGCAAGGCTATGCTGAACCTCCTTAGGCACTTTCTAATTAGATGTCCTGAGTCGTCCCAATTCTTAGACCTTTAATACCTGTTTTTCTCCTTTCCTTATTCCCTTTAGTTTTTCAATTCATACAAAACTGTATCCAGGCCATCACCAATAATTCTAAATGACAAATGTTTCTTTTAACAATCCCACAATGTCACCCCTTACCACAAAATCTTCCTTCAGCTTAATCGCTCCCACTTTAGGTTCCCACGCCGCCCCTAATCCTGCTCAAAGCAGCCTTGAGAAACATCACCCATTATCTCTCCATACCACCCCCAAAAATTTTTGCTGTCCCAACACTTTACCCCTATTTCATTTTATTTTTCTTATTAATATAAGAAGACAGGAATGTCAGGCCTCTGAGCCCAAGCTAAGCCATCATATCCCCTGTGACCTGCACGTACACATCCAGATGGCCGGTTCGTGCCTTAACTGATGACATTCCACCACAAAAGAAGCGAAAATGGCCTGTTCCTGCCTTAACTGATGACATTGTCTTGTGAAATTCCTTCTCCTGGCTCATCCTGGCTCAAAAGCTCCCCTACTGAGCACCTTATGACCCCGACTCTGCCCGCCAGAGAACAACCCCCCTTTGACTGTAATTTTCCTTTACCTACCCACATCCTATAAAACGGCCCCACCCCTATCCCCCTTCGCTGACTCTCTTGTCAGACTCAGCCCACCTGCACCCAGGTGATTAAAAGCTTTATTGCTCACACAAAGCCTGTTTGGTGGTCTCTTCACACGGACGTGCATGAAAGGTGCGTGTATATTTTTGTAACACAATAAATAATAACAGTATACACTTTTTCTTTTAGAAGTATGCTGTTAAACAGAATTAAGAACAGGAAGTCTCAAAATTGTTTCTTTCAGGAGAGAAGACTTATTAATGGGGGAGAGTTCTGAACCACTTGCTTTGCATACTGCCACTTAGTTAAAAAATCGCATTTTAACTTAAAAATATCCAAAAATAACACAGTTTTATAATAAATTATTACGAATATCACAAAATAATAAAAATACAAGTAATGCAGAGTGGAAATGCAAAGCTATGAGTGCTAGACGGCTAACAAGTCATAACAAACAACACCAAAATTAAAGAACAAGATAGTTGTGACTTACCTTGGTCAATCACTTTCCATAGTAGTCATTCAATCCAGGATCTCATCTCTGAAAATGAAGGAAAAAAGCAACAGAAAATAGTGTAGAGGTCTCTGGTGTTCCAAGAATAGGCGCTGCAGAGAGATGTGGGTGCCTGGGCTGTGCCCAGTCACTGAAATGGCACACCTGATGCTACCTGTTCACTTCGGGCTGAGCAGGAGAGAGAAAAGACGTTCCCCTCAGCCACTTCCCGTCTTCTGATTTCACTTCTTGCCTGCCTCCGACTGCAAATCCTGGTTTGACGTCACTTCCTGTCTTCTGATTTTACTTCCTGTATGACCTCACTTCCTGTCTTCTACAACCACTTCCTGTCTTCTTACTTCACTTCCTGTCTTCTGACTTTACTTCCTGTATGACTTCACTTCTTGTCTTCTACCACCACTTCCTGTCTTCCGAATTTACCTCCTATCTTGACTTCACTTCTTGTTTTTTTTTTTTTTTTTTGACAGGGTCTCGCTCTGTCTCCTAGGGTGGAGTGCAGTTGTGCCAGCTTGAAACCACCTTTCCAAAATTATGACTGAGACAGTGAAAGAGATTTAACTGACTCCATTTTGCTTCTAACCTCCAAGCTGTCCTTTTTCATTCCTGGGCATAGGCTGAACTTTGGGAGAAACTTATAGTTTAAACAAAGATGATAGCCCTTTTCCAAAGCACACCTCTTTGTTGCCTGGGGACTAGATTGGCCCTGTAGGACGAACATTAGCCACGAGATTAGAAATTATGACTTAGGAGTCATGCAGCTGGAGGCTACAAGATTGTGACCCTCCCTAAACTGCTTCTAAGATCAGCGTTTAACTTGCAGACCCTGTACTTGATGGATCAGCTGGCACCACCCATATCAATAAACTGGCCCATCTTATCTTTTGGCCTCCACTCAGGAACTGAGTGCAAGAAGATAGCTTTGGCTCCCACGATTTCATCCCTGACCAAACAGCACTCCTGGCTCACTGGCTTCCCACCCACCCACCAAGTTATCCTTAAAAACGCTTCCTGAATGCTGGGAGACACTGATTTGAATAATAATAAAACTCTGGTCTCTCGTAGAGCCAGCTCTGCATGAATTATTCTCTATTGCGATTCCCTGTCTTGACGAATCAGCTCTGTCTAGGCAGTGGGCAAGGTGAACACATTGGACTATTACAATCTTGGCTCACTGCAACCTCCACCGCCTGGGTTCAAGTGATTCTCCTGCCTCAGACTCCCAAGTAGCTGAGATCACAGACGTGCACTACCATGCTCAGCTACATTTTTTTTTCTGTCCCCCGGGCTGGAGTGCAATGGTGCGATCTCGGCTCATTGCAACCTCCGCCTTCCGGGTTTAAGCGATTCTCCTGCCTCAGCCTCCAGAGTAGCTGGGATTACAGGCATGCACCACCAAGCCTGGCTACTTTTGGTATTTTTAGTAGAGACAGGGTTTCACCATGTTGGCCAGGCTGGTCTCAAACTCCTGACCTCATGTGATCCACCTGCCTCTGCCTCCCAAAGTGCTGGGATTACAGGTGCGATCCACCATGCCCAGCCCATTCCGTCTTCTGACTTGACTTCCTGCCTGACTTCACTTCCTGAAGGATGTGGTTACCATGGAAGTTGTTTTGGGGCACAGGATGTGGTCTGGGATTGGGGATTGTGAAAAGCAAGACCCTCACCGGGGTCTTTCTTCCAGAGCTGCAGCTGAGCCACAGGATCTTGAACAGGAGAGAGTTCTTCCTATTCTTGTGGAAGAGCTGAGGATTGAGAAAAGCGCGGCTTAGCTCATGGGAGTGACCTTAGCTTTGAGAAGCCTGAAAATGAGGCTTGGAGGTAGAGAGTGGTGTGTGTGTGTGCGCGTTGGGGGAGGGGGTCAGGCTCTCATGACTTCTGGCTCTTTTTTTTGCTCCAGGAACATTTCCCAAGCCCACCATCTGGGCTAACCCAGCCCTCGTGGTTCCTGGGTGCAAACATGGCCGTGGAATTGTGGAATGGTTTTTTTTGTATCCTTAGCAGAGAACCCAGTGAATACTTTGTTCTTGATCATCAATGTGATGAGATCCAGAGCAAGCAAGTGCTAATGCTGCTGTGAGCCTGAGGCCACATTTTCAGAATTCAGTGATGGGCGGAGGCGAGTGGTCACAGGTATAGGGAGAGCAGTACTTGTTCATCTCTGAACGTATAGATTCAGACACACATGAACCCATGTGCCACAGGTTTCCCTGTTTAGGACTTGTAGGTCATGGGGGTGGGCATCTGAGAGTGTGGCTACATGAAATACACACGTTGGAGAAAGATGGTTAATTGTGAGTGCGAGTTTACATTTCATGGGCCCCTGGGGTGTCGATAGTTCCTCAATGGATGTAGATCCGTTACTCAATTTCTTCTCTAAAGATGGGGCTAGATTACAATGGTTCTCAACCTAAGAAAACTTTGCATTTCAGGAAATATTTTCTACTGCCCAGAGACATTTTTGATCACTGTTAACTGTGAGGATGTGAGCTGGTATCTAGGGGGTAGAGGCTAGGGATGGTGCCGAACACCCTGGAAATGTACAGGACGTTTCCCAACGAGTAGTGATCCGATCCCAAATGTCAATAGTGTGGAGAAGGAGAAACCTTTAGTTTCTTCACGCAATGTCCTTTTTAAACTTTGTGCCTCTCTTTTTACCAACCTTCCCCCTTCTTCCCGCTGAAACTGAGAATAAAGATGCTCTGGAGGCCGGGCACGGTAGCTTATGTCTGTAATCCCAGCACTTTGGGAGACCGAGGCAGGCAGATCGCTTGAGGTTAGGGGTTCGAGACCAGCCTGGCCAGCGCGGTGAAACCCTGTCTCTACTAAAAATGCAAAAATTATCCGGGAGCCTGAGGCAGAATTGCTTGAACTTGGGAGGCAGAGGCTGCAGTAAGCCGAGGTCACACCACTGCACTCCAAACCGGGCAATGGAGCGAGACTGTCAAAAAAAAAAAAAAATGCTCAGGGAATGACCCATGCCGCATTGAACAAGGACACCTTGAACCAGGAAACCTCAGAAGCCCACACTGTATGCAGTGGAACTGGAAAGTGATGGAGTGGTTTAAAGGTAGTATCAGAGAACTTGGATCTAGTCGGTGGGAATAAACCAATAGCCCCTGATGAAGAAATGAAAGTAGGAAGAGAGATTAACTTTTTTAGTTTTAAATTTAAATATTAAAACTACTTTTGACCAGGTGTGGTGGCTCATGCCTATAATCCCAGCATTTGGGGAGGCCAAGGTGGGCAGATCACCTGAGCTCAGGAGTTCAAGACCAGTCTGGACAACGTGGCAAAACCCTATCTCTACCAAAAATGCAAAAATTACCTGGGTGCAGTGGTGCACACCTGTGGTCCCAGCTACATGGGAGGCTGAGATGGGAGAACTGCTTAAACTGGGGAGGTGGAGGCTGCAGTGACCCGAGATCGTGCCATTGCATTCCAGCCTGGGTGAAAGAGCAAGATTCTGCCACCAAAAAAAAAAAAAAAAAAAAAAAAAAAAAAGAAAAAAATGTTGCCAGGTGCGGTGACTTATACCTGTAATCCCAGCACTTTGGGAGACCAAGGCTGGTGGATCACCTGAGGTCGGGAGTTCGAGACCAGCCTGACCAACATGGAAAAACCCCGTCTCTGCTAAAAATTCAAAATTAGCCAGGCTTGGTGGCACATGCCTATAATCCCAGCTACTCAGTAGGTCGAGGCAAGAGAATCGCTTGAACCCGGGGAGGCGGAGGTTGCAGTGAGCCAAAATCGTGCCATTGCACTCCAGCCTGGGCAACAAGAAGAAACTGTCTCAAAACAAACAAAAAAAAACATGATTAGTGTTTAATAAAAATTTGTACTGTTCTTTTTCCCCCTTACCGTCCATTTGTTTGCTCATCCAGTAAACACAGACAGCAACAAAGTCTCCCCATGAGAAGCAACTTTGCCAACTAGTGTTGTCTTTATAGTACAGTTCGTTTTGTTTGTGGTTTTACAGCGTAGAGCTTGCACTGCTGCTTTGTTGAATTTGGAATTCTGTATCACAAGGAAATAATGGAGACTCTATAGTGAAAAACTATGCATACCATGAGATTTTGTTTTTTTTTGGAGAAGGAGTCACTCTGTTGCCCAAGCTGGAATGCAGTAGTGCAGTCTTCAGCACAGTGCAACATCCACCTCCTGGGTTTAAGCAATTCTCCTGCCTCAGCCTCCCAAGTAGCTGGGATTACAGGCATGTGCCACCATGCCTGGCTAATTTTTTATATTTTTAGTAGAGACGGGGTTTCACCACGTTGGCCAGGTTGGTCTCCAACTCCTGACTTCGTGATCCACCCACCTCAGCCTCCCGAAGTGCTGGGATTACAGGTGTGAGCCACCGTGCCTGGCCGAGATTCTATTTTAAGTTAGAATTTTTAAAAAGCAAAATCAGAGCAATGACATGGTCATATATGAGCTACACCGAAGCACCTAAAATATTGTAGATTGGTAGGAGAAATCCTCTGGCAAGTAATACTCAGCAGGCAGTGATCCACGCAGGTCAACAAGTAACAAGACAGGCTAGGCACAGTGGTTCACACCTGTAATCCTAGCACTTTGGGAGGCTGAGGCAGGAATATTACTTGCGCCTGGGAGTTTGAGATCAGCCTGGGCAACATAGTGAGACCCTGTCTTCAAAAAAAATCCCACAAAAATTGGCCTGGTTTGGTGGTGTGCACCTGTAGTCCCAGCTACTGAGGAGGCTGAGGCTGGAGGATCGCTTGAACCTGGGAGCTTGAGGCTGCAGTGAGCTATCATCATGCTGCTGTATTCCAGCCTGGGCAACAGAGCAACACTCATGCTTGAGGAAAAAGAAAAAGAAAAAAAAAAAAGCCGGGTACAGTGGCTCATGCCTGTAATCCCAGCACTCTGGGAGGCTGAGGTGGGTGGATCACTTGAGGTCAGGAGTTTGAGACCAGACTGGCCAACATGGTGAAACCTCATCTCTATTAAAAATACAAAAAAATTTAGCCGGGTGTGGTGGGGGATGCTTGTAATCCCAGCTACTCAGGAGGCTGAGACAGGAGAATCGCTTGAACCTGCCAGGTTGTAGTAAGCTGAGATCGTGCCAGTGTACTCCAGCGTGGGCAACAGAGTGAAACTCAGTCTAAAAAAAAAAAAAAAAAAAAAGAAAAGAAAAAAGAAAGGAAATACCAAGGCAAGGCAAAGATTGACAAGGCAATAGAAATCAATGCAATTAAACACTGTCACTTCCCCCACCCCCCAGGTTCTACCCAGTAAGATATCTTTTCTCTAACTTGTCAAAGCCCATTATTAAGTAACAGCTTCATTTGTGAATGCTCTCACCTTTATTTCTCTCAATATACCCGTGATACAGATATTTCATATGTAACAAAGATAAGGATGTGTGCAGGTATAAAACAGAGGCAGAATCATGGCTAAAACATCTAGCCCAGCAATGAACTCATTATCCCTGAGGGGTAGGGGCCGGGGAGGAGAGGAGTCACAGGCAGTTCACCAACACCTGGAAAATCGATGACTTCATGGAGAATGAATGACTCGGGGGGATTCAGATCATGAAGTCATGAGAAGAAGGCCTTTCTGCCCAGGGATGATGTTTCTCAGTATCAATAATCAGTTGTGGGTTTTTTTCTTCTATTTCTTCCAGCAGCTTATTGAGTTCATCATTAAAGTCATCGATTTTCAACCTGGGGTACAATGGGGGAAGAAAAGGTTACTTTGTGCATCAAGGAGATTTGTTTCAAATTCCCAAGTACCTGAAAGTCTGTTAAGGAGGCACAGGGCATGGGTCACCTTTCCTGATTATTCTAGGTGGCAAAGGAGTGTTCCACATTGATTTTTTTTTTTTTTTTTTAAAAGACAGTCTCAGGTGGGGCGTGATGGCTCACGCCTGTAATTCCCAGCACTTTAGGAGGCTGAGGCGGGTGGATCACGAGGTCAGCAGATCAAGACCATCCTGGCTAACACGGTGAAACCCTGTCTCTACTAAAAAAATACAAAAAATTAGCCGGGCGTGGTGGCGGACGCCTGTAGTCCCAGCTACTCAGGAGGCTGAGGCAGGAGAATGGTGTGAACCCGGGAGGCGGAGCTTGCAGTGAGCCGAGATCGTGCCACTGTACTCCAGCCTGGGCGATCTCAAAAAAAAAAAAAAAAAAAAAAAAAAAAAAAAAAAAAAAGACAGTCTCTCTGTTGCCCAAGCTGGAGTGCAGTGGTACCATCTCAGCTCACTGCAACCTGTGCCTCTTGGGTTCAAGCCATCCTATCCTCTGCCTCCCGAGTAGCTGGGACTACAGGCACCTGCCACCATGCTCAGCTAATTTTTGTATTTTTAGTAGAGTTGGGGTTTTACCATGTTGCCTAAACTGTACCTGGCTTGATTTGCTTATTTTTTATTTTTAAATATAAAATGAGGCCAGATGTGGTGGGTCATGCCTGTAATGCCAGCACTTTGGGAGAGTGAGGTGGGCAGATCACTTGAGGTCAGGAGTTTGAGACCAGCCTAGGCAAGATGGTGAAAGTCCATCTCTACTAAAAATATAAAAGTTAGTTGGGTGTGATGGTGCATCCCTATAATCCCAGCTACTCAGGAAGCTGACACAGGAGAATCACTTGAACCTGGGAGGCGGAGGTTACAGTGAGCTGAGATCGGGCCCCTGCACTCCAGCCTGAGCAATAGAGTGAGATTTTTGTCTAAAAAATAAATGAAGTAAATAATAAAATGTAATATTAAAGACTTTCATTTCTCTTTTTAATCCTTTTTTTCATTCCTCTTATTCTCAACCATGTTGATCTGATAGAGAAAAACATAACATCAGGTTAACCTTGTAATGGTATATAGCCATTGTGCAGTTTGAGATGCTTGTTGATTATCATACACAGAAAATGGAATTGCTGAGTACAGCTGGGCTATAGCTCTAATACCTGCTTACCCGCTCTATCACCCACTTTGGCAACTTCTACTCAGTGGACCCCGGAGTACCAGTTAAACAGAGGAGATGCAGGCCAGGCATGGTGGCTCACGCCTGTAATCTTAGCACTTTGGGAGGCTGAGGCAGGCGGGTCACCTGAAGTCAGGAGTTCGAGACCAGCCTGACCAATATGGAGAAACCCTGTCTCTATTAAAAATACAAGATTAGCCAGGTGTGGTGGCACATGCCTGTAGTCCCAGCTACTTGGGAGGCTGAGGGAGGAGAACCTCTTGAACCCGGGAGGCGGAGGTTGCAGTAAGCCGAGATAGCGCCATTGCGCTCCAGGCTGGACAACAAGAGTAAAACTCTGGCCGGGCGGGGAGGTGGGGGGGTCAGCCCCCCGCCCAGCCAGCCGCCCTGTCCGGGAGGTGAGGGGCGCCTCTGCCCGGCCGCCCCTAATGGGAAGTGAGGAGCCCCTCTAACCGGCCAGCCGCCCTGTCCGGGAGGGAGGTGGGGGGGTCAGCCCCCCATTTTGTTCTGTACTAAGAAAAATTCTTCTGCCTTGGGATCCTGTTGATCTGTGACCTTACCCCCAACCCCGTGCTCTCTGAAACATGTGCTGTGTCCACTCAGAGTTAAACGGATTAAGGGCGGTGCAAGATATGCTTTGTTAAACAGATCCTGAAGGCAGCACGCTCGTTAAGAGTCATCACCACTCCCTAATCTCAAGTACCCAGGGACACAAACGCTGCGGAAGGCCGCAGGGTCCTCTGCCTAGGAAAACCAGAGACCTTTGTTCACTTGTTTATCTGCTGACCTTCCCTCCACTATTGTCCTATGACCCTGCCAAATCCCCCTCTGTGAGAAACACCCAAGAATGATCAATAAAAAAAAAAAAAAAAAAAAAGGAAAAAAAAAAAAAAAAAAGAAAAAAGATGCACCCCAAAAAAAAGAGTAAAACTGTCTCCAAAATAAATAATAAATAAACAAACAAACAAACTTAAAGCTTAAAAAAACCCTTAGTGTCCATATGTCTTTTGACTTACAAAGTATCTTAGGCTGAGTTTCATGTTAAATAAACAAGTAATCTATGTTTCTTCTACATAAAGATTATTTTAAGCCAGCAGTAGAGTATATTGCTTGTGAGAATTTCTGAAGTTCCCACATTCCTAGGAAGGGGCTTCTTGGTTCTTTGATGCCATGGTATCAAAATACAACTCAGGCCGGGTGCGGTGGCTCATGCCTGTAATCCCAGCACTTTGGGATGCTGAGGTGGGCAAATCACGGAGGTCAGGAGTTTGAGACCACCCTGGCCAACATGGCAAAACCCTGTCTCTACTAAAAATACAAAAATTACCTAGGTGTGGTGGTGCATGCCTGTAATCCCAGCTACTTGGGAGGCTGAAGCATGAGAATAGCTGGAACCTGGGAGGTGGAGGTTGCAGTTAGCAACCACTGCACCCCAGCCTGGGCAACAGAGTGAGACTCCATCTCAGAAAAAAAAAAAAAAAAAGAAAGAAAAAACAAAACAAAACCCCAAAACCCTGACAAAATGCAACAAACAAAACACAGCCCAGTGACAAATGGCTATCATGAGCAGGTAGACGGCAGCCGTGGCTGGGTGCAATGGTTCATGCTTATAAACCTACCTACTCAGGAACTGAGGCAGGATTGCTTGAGCCCAGGAGCTGGAGCGAGCCTGCAGCGAGCCATCATTGTGCTGCTGGACTCCAGCCTGGGGAACATAGTGAGTTCTTGCCTCAAAGGAAAAAAAAAAAAAAGGTGGCCGGGTGCGGTTGCTCACGCCTGTAATCCCAGCACTTTGGGAGGCCGAGGCGGGCGGATCACCTGAGGTCAGGAGTTTGAGACCAGCCTGACCAACATGGTGAAACCCCGTTTCTCCAAGTGAAATACAGAAATTGGCTGGGTGTGATGGCGGGAACCTGTAATCCAGCTACCAGATCAGTCTCCTACAGCAGGTCCATGTCATTATGCTTCCCCTAAACCTACCACTCTGGAGAAAGCCTGATGGGGAAGTAAATGGATCATACCTGAGTGTCCGGAGGGTGCCACTGGAACATGTCAAGGTTTCAAACAGCATCTTCACTCCACTAGACCCCAAGGGATTCTGACCCAGGTCCAGAGTGACGAGGCTCTGGTTGCAGCTGAGGGCAGAGCAGAGGTCTTCACAACTGAACGGAGGGATGGAACATCCCCACAACCTGGGGAAACACAGAAATCAACACGTTAATGCAGCCAGTGCTGATCGATGCCCTCCGGCAAGCCAAGCCCACCCTCGTGTGTTGGGGATCTGCATGACCAACAGAAGTCTCAGGCCGGGCACGGTGGTTCACGCCTGTAATCCCAGCACTTTGGGAGGCCGAGGTGGATGGATCACCTGAGGTCAAGGAGTTCAAGACCAACCTAACATGGTAAAACCGTGTCTCTACTAAATATACAGAAGTTAGCTGGGCGTGGTGACAGGCACCTGTAATCCCAGCTACTCAGGAGGCTGGGGCAGGAGAATCGCTTGAACCCAGGAGGCGGAGGTTGCAGTGAGCCGAGATCGCGCCATTGCACTCCAGCCTGGGTGACAGAGTGAGACTCCGGTCTCAAAAAACAAACAAAACGTCTCCGCCCTCAGGGCTCATCTGCTAACAGGAAAATATGGAGGCGATGAGGGGTTCTGAAGGGCAAGGGGTACAGGGAATAACTGGGGGTTCTGGCTACAATGGTTGGAGGTGAGGGGGTGAAGAGACCGAGTCATAGAGCTCGGGGGGGAGTTCTCCAGGCAGAGAAATAGCTTGTGCAGAGGCCCTGAAGATACATGTGACTGACACGTAAAATAGAACATCCAGGCAGCGGGCATGAGTGAGACAGGGAGGATTGTCAAGATGAGGTCATAGGTAAGCAGTGGCCAGCTCACAGAAGACCCTGAAGCCATCGTCAATATAGGATTTTACCTGGATTGACATAGGGAAGCACTGAGGCTTTTGAGCAGAGAGGTTAAATAACTTCCATCTTTGAAGTTATTCTTTGAGACAGTCTTGCTCTCTCGCCAGGGCTGGAGTGCTGTGGCATGATCTCGGCTCACTGTAGCCTCTGCCTCCTGGATTCAAGCAGTTCTCGTGCCTCCAAGTAGATGAGATTATAGCTATGTGCCACCATGCCTGCCTGATTTTTGTGGTTTTAGAGAGACAGGGTTTCACCTGTCTCTTTAGTAGAGACAGGCTGGTCTACGAACTCCTGACCTTAGGTGATCCACCTGCCTCGGCCTCCCAAAGTGCTGGAATTACAGGCATGAGCCACTGCACCCTGCCACTTTATTTTTTGAAACACGGTCTCACTCGGTTGCCCAGGCTGGAGTGTGGTAACGCCATCTTGGCTCACTGCAGCCTTGACCTCCTGGGCCAACCAGCAACTCAAACTTTTTGCTCCTCTACACGTGTCAGTGAGTGATTAAAAAGGCGCCTTTGTTTTTTTTGTTTTTTTTTTTTTTTTGAGACAGGATCTCACTGTCACCCAGGCTGGAGTGAGGTGACGTGATCTCAATTCGCTGTAACTTCTTCCTCCCAGGCTCAAGTGATCCTCCCACCTCAGCCTCCTGAGTAACTGGGAGCAGAGGTACACAGCCATGCTCAGCGGATTTTTGTACTTTCAGTAGAGACAGGGCTTCATTGTGTTGGCCAGGCTGTTTTTAAATTCTTGGCCTCAAGCAATCTACCTGCCTTGGACTCCCAAAATGCCAGGATTACAGGCATGAGCCACCTTGCCCATCCCGAGTCAAATTCTTTTAAGATTGCCTCCCAGATAGGATTCCAGGTTCAAGTGCATCTGATTGTAGCTAACTCACAAGGTATTTGTAAGATAGCCAAGTTGAGACCACTCACCTGCTGATAGAGCCAGCATTTTCTGGCACGATATCTAATTCCTACCTCTTTTTTATTTTTTCCTGAGATGGAGTCTTGCTCTTGTAGCCCAGGATGGAGTGTAGTGACAGGATCTCAGCTCACTGCAACCTCTGCCTCCAGGGTTCAAGTGATTCTCCTGCCTCAGCCTCCCAAGTAGCTGGGATTAAAGGCACCTACTGGCTGGGCACGGTGGCTCTCACCTGAGGTCCGGAGGTCGAGACCAGCCTGACCAACATGGAGAAACCCCGTCTATACTAAAAATACAAAATTAGCCAGGCATGGTGGCACATGCCTGTTTATTTGCAGCTATGTGGGAGGCTAAGGCAGGAGAATCACTTGAACCCAGGAGGTGGAGGTTGCAGTGAGCTGAGATCGCGCCATTACACTACAGCCTGGGCAACAAGAGTGAAACTATCTCAAAAAAAAAAAAAAAAAAAAAAGAGGCACCCACTACTATGCTCGGCTAATTTTTATATTTTAGTAGAGATGGAGTTTCAAGTTGGCCAGGCTGGTCTTGAGCTCCTGACCTTAAGTGATCCGCCCGCTTCGGCCTCCCGAAGTGCTGGGATTACAGGTATGAGCCACTGTGCCTGGCCCAATTCCCACCTCTCTGAATGTGGGGTGCTGGGCAGTGGCTTTTGGCTGAATGGCTTGAGGCACTGTATCCTTAAAATTTCACAGGTGTTCTTTGCATGACACAGACTAGAACTTAGACATAGGGCCTGGCGCAGTGGCTCACGCCTGTAATCCCAGCACTTTGGGAGGCCGAGATGGGCGGATCACCTGAGGTCAGGAGTTTGAGATGAACCTTCAACATGGCGAAACCCTGTCTCTACTAAAAATACAAGAATTAGCTGGGCATGGTGGCGGGCGCCTGTAATCCCAGCTACTCGGGAAGCTGAAGCAAGAGAATTGCTTGAACCTGGGAGGCGGAGGTTGCAGTGAGCCAAGATCACGCCACTGCACTCCAGCCTATGTGACAAGAGCAAAACTTCAAGAAAAAAAAAAACAAAAACTTAGACATAGACTAGAACTTATTCCTTTAACCATCCTAGTAAATGCTCGATCGACTCTATAAAGGTCCTCTCAATTATATAACTTGGGAAGTCGGCTTCACTGATTATTTTACACTAGCCACAGATTCAGTAAGGTGTAAGTATAGGAAGTTGAACTTATAAGTTAACTCACCACAGACATCTCAAGTTGCACAGTGGTTTCCTCAAAGCCTCACACAGGAACTTCATTCCCTTAACTCCTATGTGATTCAGCCCCAGATCCAAACACAACAGGCTTGATTTTTCTTGGAGAAGCTTTGTGAGATCGCAGCAGCCATCGCTAGTTATGTCGCAGTTCCAAAGCCTAGAAATCAACCACAGGAAGAAAGCAAACCCGAACCTGTGAGTTCTCACTGCTGTGATGCACCTTTGACTCTTGAGCCGTGGGTTAGACACACTTAGAGACAGTGGTGACATGGAAATGGAATCATGGGGTGGTGTGGTGGACAGAAGAATGGCCTCCCCTAAAGATGTCCAAGTCCCAACTCCTGGCACCTGCGAGCAAAAGGGACCTCGTAGAGGTGACTGAGCATCTTAAGATGGTTTATATCCTGGTTTATTTGGGTAGGTCCAGCAATCACAGGGATCCTCATAAGAGGGAGCTGAGAGTCAAAGCCAGCAGGAGGTGACGTGATAAGGGAGCCAGGGCAACGTTTGAAGATGCTCTGCCGAAGTTGGAGGAAGGGCCACAAGCCAAGGAATGCAGGTGGCCAACAGAAGTTGGAGAAGTAAAAAGGATTCTCAGCTGGCACGGTGGCTCACTTCAACCTCCGCCTCCTGGTTTCACGCGATTCTTGTGCCCCAGCCTTCCGAGTAGCTGGGATTACAGGGGGGTGTGTGTGTGTACACACATGCGCGTGCCACCACACCCAGCTAAGTTTTGTATTTTTAGTAGAGACAGGGTTTCCCCATGTTGGCCAGGCTGGTCTTGAACTCCCGACCTCAGATGATCTGCCCACCCTGGCCTCCCTAACATGCTGGGATTACGATTGTATTTGCTAAATTCAGTTGCTAGAGAGGTAGTGTCTTACAGGCAGAAGACACCAGCTCACACTCCAACATATCTGGTACTAGGATCCTAGATATTAACCAACACAGATTATCAGAGATATTTCACCTTAGCTCTGTTTTCTTTCTTCTGTCTCAATAGAGTTCTAAACTTAATTATAATTTGAACTATAATGCCCATGTATCTCTGGGTCCCAAGTGAAGCATACCACTAGCTGAGGGACACAGGACCTGGAAGGGCCTTGGAAATAGATGGCAGATTGGAGTCCATGACGATGGAGAAGTGAAAACACACCCCCAAATCTTGAAACTTTATGAATGTATAGAAACTTTTTTTTTTTTTTTTTTGAGACAGTCTCGCTCTGACACCCAGGCTGGAGTACAGTGGCACAATCTCAGCTCACTGCAACTTCCGCCTCCCAGGTTCAAGCAATTCTCTGCCTCACCCTCCCAAGTAAGCTGGGATTACAGGCTCCGACACCACGCCTGGCTAATTTTTGTATTTTTAGTAAAGACAGGGTTTCACCATGTTGGCCAGGCTGGTCTTGAACTCCTGACCTCATGATCCACCTGCCTCGGCCTCTCAAAGACCCTACCCGGCCTTCTAGAAACTTCCATGACTGTAATGGAGGAAAACCCACATAAGACTAAAGGGAAGTTGACAACTTAGCAAAATAGGGGCATGGATCAAAAAGTTGAATTGAGGGGGCCGGCACGGTGGCTCACACCTGTAATCCCAGCACTTTGGGAGGCTGAGGTGGGTGGATCACCTGAGGTCAGGAATTCGAGACCAGCTTGACCAACATGGTGAAAACTCGTCTCTACTAAAAATAAAGAAGTTAGCTGGGCGTGGTGGCATGCACCTTAATCCCTGGGAGGCTGAGGCAGGAGAATCACACCTGAACTCAGGAGGTGGAGGTTGCAGTGAGCTGAGATGGAGCCACTGCATTCCAGCCTGGGCGACAGAGCAAGACTATCAAAAAAAAAAAACCAAAAAAAAAAAAAAAAGAAAACCCCCCCCCCCCCAAAAAAATACCACACACACCACACACCACACACACACACAACCAAAAAAACTAGACATTCATTTGAAGATACAGTTAGTGAGTCGGTGACATCTCACTGCTTGTGGGACTTCTTTTTTAATGTTTCAGGGCCTAGATATAGTGGGTGTGGGAAGAATCCTTTCCTTCTACTCATCGTCTCCAGCCATGAACTGAATATGTCATTAAATTTAAGTGGGTAGTTTTCAGATGCCAGGTACATATCCTAGATTAGTTACTTCATAGGAAGAGGACAGTTCCTAACTGTTGGAGGTGATGTTAGAGACAAAGAATACCAGAGATATGTATGGCTGGACGCAGTGGCTCATGCCTGTAAATCCTAGCACTTTGGAAGGCTGAGGCGGGCGGATCATGAGGTCAGTTCGAGACCAACCTGGCCAACATGGTGAAATCCCATCTCTACTAAAAATATAAAAATTAGCCCGGCGTGGTGGTGAGTGCCTGTAATCCCAGCTACTCAGGAGGCTGAGGCAGGAGAATCAACCTCCTTGAAGCCGGAGGTTGCAGTGAGCCTAGATCATGCCATTGCCAGCGTGGGCAAGAGTAAAACTCCATCTTAAAAAAAAAAAAAAAAAATACCAGAGATGTTAACATAAAATCGAATCTCTGAACAGAAACCATCAGTGCAGATACAATTTTTTTTTTTTTTTGAGACAATCTCGTTCTGTCACCCAGGCTGGCACGATCTCGGCTCACTGCAACCTCCCGACTTCAAGCGATTCTCCTGCCTCAGCCTCCCAAGTAGCTGGGATTACAGGACCATACCACCACGCCTAGCTAATTTTTGTATTTTTAGTAGAGACAGGGTTTCACTGCATCAGCCAGGCTGGTCTCAAACTCCTGACCTCAGGTGTTCTGCCCGCCTCCTAAAGTGCTGAGATTACAGGCATGAGCCACCATGCCAGGCCCCAATTCCTTTCTAAAGATTTGTCCTATAATTTTTTTTTTTTGAGAGAGTCTTGCTCTATTGGCCAGACTGGACTTCAGTGGTGCCATCTCAGCTCACTGCAACCTCCACCTCCGAAGTTCAAGTGATTCTCCTGCCTTAGCCTCCTGAGTAACTGGGATTACAGGCATGTCCCACCATGCGTGACTAATTTTTGTATTTTTAGTAGAGAGACAATGTTTCACCATGTTGGGCAGGCTGGTCTTGAACTCCTGCCCTCAAGGGATCTGCCTTGCTTCGGCCTCCCAAGGTGATGGGATTATAGGCGTGAGCCACTATGCCAGGCCACGTGTCCTGTGATTTTAGTATTAAAAGGAGGATCACATTGAGCATGTAGCTTCCAATAGCTTCCATTGGGAGTCTGAGCGTACACTGGCCCAGAAGACTACCTGATTTGCAAATCATTCATTAAAAAATAAGTAAATGAATTCCATTTACAACCAATTGCATGCAATTTATGTTACAGTTATAGTTCTAAGAACACAGATTAAGAGAAAACACAGCATGGGGTGACATGGCTCATGCCTGTAATTCTAGCACTTTGGGAGGCCAAGGCAGGCAGATCTCTTGAGCTCAGGAGTTTGAGACCAGCCTAGGCAACACGGCGAGATCCCATCTCTAAAATACATACATACATAAAGAGGAAAAAAAAAACCCGAAAACCAGCTACATTCCCCAAATCCCTATAGAATATTACTACTACTCTACTACTACTTATACTTTTTTCCTACCATCATCTACCCAGGTCTTACCAGTTGTCATTAGCATCATGCTTGGAACTTTTAGAGGAATTAAGTGTTCTCATAACCACCCTACTCAAACCCGGAGGTGGGGGGCGTGTGCATATACACCCACGCACACAGGCAGCCAGCACGGACTTACACCAAGGTCTGCAGTTTACACTCGGGGTACCTCAAGCCCTCACACAGAAACTTCACCCCTGTATTCCCAATGGGGTTCTTGGCCAAGCACAGGTGTGTCAGCTCCCGGCTGACAACCAACACAGCAGCAAGGTCCTTGCAATTGGCTTCTGTAAGGTGACAGTTTTCCAACCTACAAAAGAATCACAAATGGCAACACGGTTGACAGGTCCAACTTCAACCTTCCCGGCTAGCTCCACAAGTGCCAGCATCCAAAAGCCCCTTCTTGTGAACTCCCCACCTTCTATCATGCACTGGTGATCCTATGAAGGAATAGGAATGAGAGAAGAACAAAATTCACAGGCCATCGGCCTGGATCTAAACATGGGAACAGGTGTTCACATCAGCGAGAGGTTCCATACAGCCAAGTCAGGCATGACCATTGCTCGTCTGTGGCCCCAGATCGAAAGCACAGCTGCTCTGTAAGAGAGGAGAGACTTACGACAACCTCTGCAGAAAGCACTTGGGGTGTCTCAAAGTTGTGTACAGCAACTTAGCACCCTCATCCAGAAGCTCATTGTCGGAGAGGTTTACGCACGTCAGGGACTGGTTGACTTCAAGGGCCAAGGAGAGATCAGCCCACTGCTGAGTGGTAGCGGAACAAGACACCAACCTGTGGGAGAAATAGGACCACGTCATTTTTTTTTTTTTTTTGAGACTGAGTCTCACTCTTGTTGCCCAGGTGGCGCAATCTCGGCTCACAGCAACCTCCGCCTCCTGGGTTCAAGTGATTCTCCTGCCTCAGCCTCCCGAGTAGCTGGGACTGCAGGCATGCACCATGCACCAACATGCCCAGCTAATTTTGTATTTTCAGTAGAGGTGGGGGTCTCTCCATGTTGGTCAGGCTGGTCTCAAACTCCCAATCTCAGGTGATCTGCCCACCTCGGCCTCCCAGAGTGCTGGGATGACAGGCGTGAGCCACCGCGCCCGGCAGAACAAGTCATTCTTGAGAATCTAACCGTGGAATCGTCTTTGGTTTACATCTCACTGGTTGTGTTATACCCCGACTTGAATTATCTGGAGCAGCAGTTGTCAAAGGGTGGTCAGACCAGTGGCACCAACATCGCCCAGGAATCAGCTGGAAATACAGAACTTAGTCAATCTGACTCTAATGTTGGATGCAGACTCCGCTAACCTATGTTTCATTGTTTGGTTTTTTGAAAGGGAGTTATTTATGCTCTGTCGCCCTGGCTGGAGTGTAGTGGCGCGATCTCAGCTCACAGCAACCTCTGCCTCCCAGATTCAAGAGATTCTCCCGCCTCAGCCTCCTGAGTAGCTGGGATTACAGGCAAATGCCATCTTGCCTGGCTAATTTTTGTATTTTTTAGTAGAGATGGGGTTTTACCATGTTGGCCAGGCTGGTCTCAAACTCCTAACTTTGGCCGGGGCAATGGCTCATGCCTGTAATCCCAGCACTTTGGGAGGCCGAGGTGGGCAGATCAGGAGGTCAGGAGTTTGAGACCATCCTGGCCAACATGGTGAAACCCCGGCTCTACTAAACATACAAAAGTTAGATGGGCGTGGCGACACGTGCCTGTAGTCCCAGCTACTCAGGAGGCTGAGGCAAGAGAATCACTTGAACCCAGGAGGCGGAGGTTGCAGTAAGCCGAGATCACTCCACTGCACTCTAGCCTGGGCGACAGAGCAAGACTCCGTCTCAAAACAAAAAACTCCTGACTTCAAGCGATACACCAGCCTAGGCCTCCCAAAGTACTGGGATTACAGGCAGGAGCCACCATACCCAGCCCACTAACCTATGTTTCAAGGTGCCCTGTTCATCCGGAAAATGTGTTAGAATAAATTCATAAGAAATGAGTGGCTGGGCACAGTGGCTCATGCCTGTAATCCCAGGACTTTGGCAGGCCAAGGCAGGTGGATCATGAGGCCAGGAGTTTAAGACCAGCCGGAACAACATGATGAAACCCCATTTCTCCTAAAAATACAAGAATTAGCTGGGCGTGGTGGCACATGGCTGTAATCCCAGCATTTTGGAAGATGGATGTCACTTGAGGTCAGGAGTTCGAGACCAGCCCAGCCAACACGGTGAAACCCCGGCTCTACTAAATATACCAAAAATTAGCTGGGTGTGGTGGATTGCCCGAGGTCAGGAGTTTGAGACCACCCTGGCCACCAGCATGGCGTAACCCTGTCTCTACTAGAAATACAAAATACTAGAAATACAAAAATACAGGTGGGTGCCTGTAATCCCAGCTACTTGGGAGGTTGACGGAGAAGAATCACTTGAACCCGGGAGGCAGAGGTTGCAGTGAACCAAGATTGTGGCACTGCACTCCAGCCTAGGAGACAGAGCAAGACTATATCTTGAGAAAAAAAGAAAGAAATTAGTGACCCAAATCTTTAATTCACCCAATATTCCCCCTCACCCTGCATCCCATTATTCTCAGGCAAAAAGAAAAGAGGGTAATTGCAACGGTTAGTAATGATAGCAGCCACTATTGAATGCATGGGCTTGGTTTCATTCAACCTTCCAATACCTGTAAGATGTACAGCATCCTATTCAACTAAGATCCCATTAAGCAGCCTAAGATTGTATCAGTAGAGCCAGAGCAATCAATTTTTTTTCTGTCCTCGAGATGGAGTTTTGCTCTGTTGCCCAGGCTGGAGTGCAATGGCGTGATCTTGGCTCACTGCTACCTCTGCCTCCTAGGTTCAAGCAATTCTCTTGCATCAGCCTCCATGAGTAGCTGGGATTACAGGCACGCGCCACCATGCCCAGCTAATGTTTTTGTATTTTTAGTAGACGTGGGGTTTCACCATGTTGGCCAGGCTGGTCTTGAACTCCTGACCTTGTGATCCACCTGCCTTGGCCTCCCAAAGTGCTGGGATTACAGGCATGAGCTACCGCACCCAGCCAAGATTTTTTTTTTTTTTTTTGAGACAGTCTCACACTGTTGCCCAGACTGGAGTGCGGTGGTGTGATCTCAGCTCACTGCAACCTCCGCCTCTCAGGTTCAAATGATGCTCCTGCCTCAGCCTCCTGAGTAGCTGGGACTACAGGCGTGCGCCAACATGCCCAGCTAATTTTTGTATTATTAGTAGAGACAGAGTTTCACCATGTTGACCAGGCCGGTCTTGAACTCCTGACCTCAAGTGATCCACCCACCTCGGCCTCCCAGGCGTGAGCCACTGCGCCTGGCCCAGGGCAATAATTTGAGGCCAATGACCACCTACTACACCAGTGTGGCCAAGTGAGGCTTCATGGAACCCCATGATGCATGTAGGTTCTCATCGCCTGGGCAGCCACTGGACAGCTTCCCAAGGGGAGAGCTCTCAAACCAGAGGACTAACAGAAAAGGGGCAACTTGATGTTCCTGAAGGGTTCTTGCTTGAAAAATGTCAATAGCTGGTATTCTGAATCATCATACAGGAGAAGCATGAACCATGAGTGAATGATCTCTGATAGAAGATAAAGATTCTGGGCTGGGCACGGTGGCTCATGCCTCACTTTGGGAGGCCGACGGCGGGGTGGGGTGGGGGTGGGGGGGTAGATCACCTGAGGTCATGAGTTCGAGACCAGCCTGGCCAATGTGGTAAAACTCCATCTCTACTAATAATACAAAAATTAACCAGGTGTGGTGGTGTGCACCTGTAATCCCAGCTACTCAGGAGGCTGAGGCAGGAGAATCACTTGAACCTGGGAGGTGGAGGCTGCAGTGACCTGAGATCATACCAACGCACTCCAGCCTGGGTGACAGAGCGAGACTCCATCTCAAAAAGAAAAAAGAAAAAGAAAAAACCAAAACCAAAACCAAAACATAAGGACTCTGGCTGGGCATGGTGGCTCATGCCTATAATCCCAGCACTTTGGGAGCCTGAGGAGGGCAGGTCACCTGAGGTCATGAGTTCGAGACCAGCCTGGCAATGTGGCGAAACCAGCTCCACTAAATGCACAAAAATTAGCCGGGCGTGGTGGCGGGTGCCTGTAATCCCAGCAACTTGGGAGGCTGAGGCAGCAGAATTACTTGAACCCAGGAGACAGAGGTTGCAGTGAGCCAAGATCGTGCCATTGCACTTTGGCCTGGGCAACAGAGCAAGACTTCATAAAAAAAAAAAAAAAGATGATAAAGATTCTGGGAGTTTCTTTGGATTCAGGGTCCTCACGTATGGTTGTCCAGGGTGTTTACTGTTCAAGGCAAGTAGAAACTCAAGTTCAGCCCATGCTGCATCCTGGGTCATCTGCCCTTAGTACTGTTTCTAGTCAGAATAACGAACTTTTTCTTATTTACACAAAATTGCCACATAAGCTTGTGGTAGCTTATGTTTGTATGATGAAGGATTTTAATGATTAAGAGATATACCCGAGATATCGCAGGTTACATTCTGGATGTCTCAAGACCTCACACAATGCGGGAAACATATCATCCTGGTCATTGCCTTGAAGGGTCAGATACGTTACAGTCTTGTGACCTCGAAGAGCTAGGCAGAGGTTCCGATGAGCATCAGCTGGGGAAATGTTTTTGAACCTAGGGAAAAGAGAACGAAAGTGAAATCTTTAGTGTGTACACCTGTATCGTACTTAAATGGAAACCAGGGGCTCGATATATTTAAACTTTAGGAACTATTTTTTCCATGTTTAAATTTTTGTCCATCTTTACAGATTTTTTTTTTCTTTGAGATGGAGTCTCACTCTGTTGCCCAGGCTGGAGTGCAGTGGCGCGATCTCGGCTCACTGCAAAGCAAACTCTGCCTCCCGGATTCAAGCGACTCCTACCCTCAGCATCCGGAGTAGCTGGGATTATAGGCACCTGCCACGACACCTGGCAAATTTTTGTATTTTTCGTAGAGACAGGGTCTTGCACCATCTTGGCCAGGCTGGTCTTGAACTCCTGACCTCAAGTGATCCCCCCACCTTGGGCCCCCAAAGTGCTGGGACTACAGGCGTGAGCCATTGTGCCCGGCCCTTTTTTTCTTTTTCTTTTTTTTTTTTTTTTTTTTTGAGACGCAGTCTCGCTCTGTCACTCAGACTGGAGTCCAGTGGCAGGATCTTGGTTCACTGCAACCTCCGCCTCCTGGGTTCAAGTAATTCTCCTGCCTCAGCCTCCCAAGTAGCTGATATTACAGGTGCCTGCCACCACGCCTGGATAATTTTTGTATTTTTAGTAGAGGCAGGGTTTTGTCACGTTGGCCAGGCTGGTCTCGAACTCCTGACCTCAAGTGATCTGTCTGCCTCGGCCTCCCGAAGTGTTGGAATTACAAGTGTGAACCACCATGCCCAGCCCCTAGAAATTACTTTATACGATTATCCCACAAAATAAATTTAAGGACAGGACTCTCTCAATTCCCTGTGTCTCGAGCACTTAAGAGTCTAGTACAGGAATCTGAATATTGCTCCGATGTTAACATTGTACCATTTTCATACCCTAAGGATTTGAGTTCATGAATTAGTTTCTACTTACACCACTCTCTGGAGATGACAGGTGTCAGAGGCTATTTGTTCACACAGGATCCTTACTAGGGAGGCACTGAGAAAGCTATCATTGATTGCTAGACCCATCAGATCCTTATTTGATCCAAATATGGAACAAAGGTCCGTCCAGAAAGGAAGCATGTGCTGATCATCCTGGGATCTATAGGGAAGAGAAGAAAGGGTTACACCAAATGTGTGTCCATCACGGCTGAAGTATTTAGGGTTTCTCTGGGCATATACCCCTGACAAATGAGTACAATTGAAAGCTGGACCATGTAATCACTTATTAGCACCACCATCAGACAACTCAACACCCAAGAAGCATCACAGGAGAAAGAACCTATTCTTCTTAGACAAAAATCCAATAGAGGGTAAAAATAAGTTAAAATGCTAAGCACATCATTGATAAAAGATAGAGAATATAGACCGGGCACGGTGACTCACGCCTATAATCCTAGCACTTTGTGAGGCTGAGGCGGGTGGATCACCTGAGGTCGGGAGTTCGAGACCTGCCTGGCCAACATGGTGAAACCCCGTCTCTACTAAAAGTACAAAAATTAGCTGGGCATGGTCGTGGGTGGCTGTAATCCCAGCTACTCATGAGGCTGAGGCAGGAGAATCATTGAACCTGGTGGGGCGGAGGTTGCAGTGAGCCGAGATCGAGCCACTTCACTCCGACCTGGGAAAAAGAGTGAAACTCCGTCTCAAAAAAAAAAAAAAAGATTGGGAATATACATATCTATACATATCAATAAGAAATATTCAGGCAGGGCGTGTGGTAACTCATGCCTGTAATCTCAGTGCTTTGGGAGTTCAAGACCAGCCTGGACAACATAGTGAGATTTTGTCTTTCCAAAAAAAAAAAAAAAAAAAAAAACACAAAAAAAAACCCCCACTTAAGTTAGCTGGACATGATGGTGCACACTTAATACCTGTCATCCCAGGTACTCAGGAACATCACTTGAACCCAGAAGTTTGAGGATGCAGTGAGCTGATTTCACCACTGTACTCCAGCCTGAGCAACACAGCAAGACCCTGTCTTAAAAAAATATATTTGGGCCGGGCATGGTGAATCATGCCTGTAATCCCACTTTGGAGGCTGAGGCAGGTGGATCACCTGAGGTCAGGCGGAGTTCAAGACCAGACTGGCCAACATGCTGAGATCCCGTCTCTAATGAAAATATAAAAATTAGCCGGGCAAGGTGGCAGGCGCCTGTAGTCCCAGCTACTCAGGAGGCTGAGGCAGAAGAATCACTTGAACCCGGGAGGCGGAGGTTGCAGGGAGCCAAGATCGCGCCACTGCGCTCCAGCCTGAGCGACAGAGCAAGACTCCATCTCAAAACAAAAACAAACAAAGAGTCCAACAAGAGGGAATTCCTGACCCTAAGCCACAGTGCATAGGAGGCTCTGGCCTCTTCCTAAGGGGGCATGGGATGAGGCTAAAGATGGAACGACTGGTAGAGTGAAACGGTTCTCACCTCTCAACCTCGGCGTCTGATTCAGACGCAGTGACATTCTCCGGGAGATTCTCCTTTATTACCTGCAGTGACATTTTCTGCAGGTTTCGACAGTGCTTGACGCAGAATGAAGATGGCACAACGTCTACTGCATTTAAGTGCAGGGATATTTCTTTGAACTGAGCCATCACCTCCTTCACCAGCTCCTCCTCCTGAGACTCGTACAGACAGCCGAGGAGCTCCTGCAGGTCTGTCACCGTTGAATGTCCACCCTTACAACTTATGTCGCATCGCAGCAATTCCTGTTTGATGTCCGGTGACATCCGGCAGCCAAAAGTGGCCTCCAACTCCTTGGCTCTCTTCTCGTTAGCGAGGCCAAAGGAGTAGTAGCCTGCTTGGATCAGGTCGGGGTTCCTGAGTCTTTCTACTCCGGAAAGCAGCTTCTGTACGTCCCCAATGTCCCAGGTGTGGCCGTCCCTATCCTCTTCCTCCTCCTTCTCCAGGGTGTAGAACAGGGCAGTGAGAAACTGCTGGAAGCTGAGGTGGATGAAGGAGTAGCAGCCTTTGGAGACTCTGTCCTGGCGGAGGATGTCTCCGTCCAGGAACAGACGGAGGTCGGACTCCTGCACCCCGAGCCTTTCCAGATCCTCTCGGTGAAGCACGGACGTCTGCGCCCACAGGCCCTGCGCGGCCAGGAGGCTCAGCGTCCGCAGCGCGCCCCGCAGCTGTGCGCCCTGCGGGAACCGGCTGCAGAGGAAACGCAGGAACAGCCCCGTGCGGGTGAGGCAGGTGGGGACCGGGTCCTCCCCCTTCTCCATCTGCAGCTTCAGAGTCGTGCACACGATCCAGCACACCGCGGGGGCCGAGCCCAGCTGGAACAGGGCCGCGTTGCTCCTCATTAGCTCAAAGGCACGCATGGCTTGGTCCTCGTCTCCAAAGTGTCTCAGGAAATAGGCCCTCCTGTCCTCCTCCAGGAAGCCCTCCACCCTTATGTAGATCGGCTCCTCCGCCAGGATCCGGAGGTCCCTCAGGGCCCTGGGCCGCGTGGTGACCAGCAGGGCGGCCTTGGGTAACATCACCCTGTTCAGCAAACTCCCCAGGAGGACGGGCACCGGCTTCTTCTTCTCCCAGTCCCCGCAGATGTCCTCGATCAGCGCCCCAGGTGCGGCTCCCAGCTCATCAAAGCCGTCAATCACGAACAAGATTTTCCGTGCTTGGGCTAGGATGTGTGGAATGTCATCCTGCAATTCAGGCCAGTCCCTGAAGACCAGCTCTGCAAAACTGCACGGGCCCAGGCGGCTGAGCTCCCTGCAGCTGAGGTAGAACGCATATTTGAATTTGTGGATGAGGTTGTCCTCTGCCCAGTCTAGCATTAGTTTCTGGGCCAGCGTGGTTTTCCCAAGGCCTGCAGGACCATACAGCACCACCGTGTATGAGAAGGGCCCGGGAAGCACCCTGGGGTTGCTGAATGGGATCAGCATCTTGTATCTCTCAGCCATAACCTGGACCTCTTTGCTATCTCCAGGCCAGCTCTTCCACATCTCCCGGAACTTCGTCTTCAATATATACCTGCACCTATTGTCTTTGTCTTTATCATTGGTGAGGAGGGAAGGGAGAGAGGATGCAATCAGTTACCCATAGGGAAAACCAAAATAACAAAATGCCTTGTGTTGGCCGGGCACAGTGGCTCATGCCTGTAATCCCAGCCCTTTGGGAGGTCGAGGCAGGCAGATCACCTGACATTGGGAGTTCAACACCAGCCTGACCAACATGAAGAAACCTTGTCTCTACTAAAAATAAAAAATTAGCCAGTCATGGTGGCGCATGCCTGTAATCCCAGCTACTCGGGAGGCTGAGGCAGGAGAATTGCTTGAACCTGGGAGGCGGAGGTTGCAGTGAGTCGAGATCACGCCACGGCACTCCAGCCTGGGCAACAAGAGCAAAACTCCGTCTCGATACATACATACATAAATAAATGCTTTGTGTTACATAGGAAAGTTAAGAGGACTTCAAGTTTATAAAGAGAAATCTGATCCCAAGCTCCCTGCAGGAAGATATGGTACAGACCTGGCTTTTTTCCTTTAAAGACTTCTTTACCCAGGCAGATGACATTTCCTTTCGTTTCTGTAAACGCTACAAAATACAAACTCATGTGAGATTGACACAAAATCAGGTGTATTTCCTGTGGAGTCCCAATTAGAGAAAAGGAGGCAGGCTGATGGGGCGGGGGGGAGGGGGGGCACGGGATCAGATAAAGCAAATAAGCTACAAATGTGTTTTCCGGCCAGGTGTGGTGGCTCATGCCTATAATCCCAGAACTTTGGGAGGCTGAGGTGGGGTGGATCACTTGAGCTCAGGAGTTCGAGACCAGCCTGGCCAACACAGAAACCCCATCTCTACTAAAAATGCAAAAATTAGCCAGGCGTGGTGGCGCATGCCTGTAATCTCAGCTACTTGGGAGGCCAAGAGGCTCGAGAATTGCTTGAACCTGGGAGATGGAGGTTGTAGTAAGAGATCGCACTACTGCACTCCACCCTGGGCAACAGAGCAAGACTCCATCTCAATAAAATAAATAAATAAGCTTTCCTCCATGGTTCAGGGCATACAAACAAGAGGAAACAGGTCAGCTATAGGTCTGTTTGAGACAGTCTCACTCTGTTGCCCAGGCTGGAGTGCAGTGGCGCAATCTCAGCTCACTGCAACCTCCGCCTCCCGGGTTCAAGCGATTCTCCTGCCTCAGCTTCCCAAGTAACTGGAATTACAGGCATGTGCCACTGCGTCTAGGCTAATTTTTGTATTTTTAGTAGAGATGGGGTTTCGCCATGTTGGCCAGGCCAGTCTAAAACTGCTGACCTCAGATGATCCACCCACCTCAGCCTCCCAAAGTGCTGGGATTGCAGGCATGAACCACTGCACTGGGCCAGGTCTGCTTTTATGGTCCAGGAGATACGGCCCAAGATGTTTGGCCTTCCTGGCCAGATCACACACAGAGCTCACAAACTCCCTGTTTGCCATGAAACGCCTCAGTTTATCAAACACTTCTGCTGAAAGAAGACCGCAAGTTAAACCCCCTGTTGACATTATCAATCAGCCCAAGCCCTATTCTATAAAATCTGCAGGAAGCTTTGGTCTCCTGGCAGTGAGCTACTCATGACAACCTGCCCGCTGGGGTCTCTCTGCCAATGTCTTTTCCTACTTTCTCCAATAAATCTGCCTTCCTTTACCTACGATTGTCTTCATAAATTTCTTTACCCGCGGCTGGGCGCGGTGGCTCACGCCTGTAATCCCAGCACTTTGGGAGGCCAAGGCGGGTGGATCATAAGGTCAGGAGATCGAGACCATCCTGGCTAACACGGTGAAACCCTGTCTCTACTACAAATACAAAAAATTAGCCGGGCGTGTGGCGGGCGCCTGTAGTCCCAGCTACTGGGGAGGCTGAGGCAGAATGGCGTGAACCCGGGAGATGGAGCTTGCAGTGAGCCGAGATTGCGCCACTGCACTCCAGCTTGGGTGACAGAGCAAGACTGTCTCAAAAAAAAAAACAAAACAAAACATTTCTTTACCTGCCATGCCACCAGGCACTATTCACCCACATTTCCTGCTGAAGCATGATGATAGAGCAGGCACCACAGTACCCCAAGTCGCACCGAAATTCTTTGTCAAGATTGTGTGCTAGGCTGGGCACAGTGGCTCACGCCTGTCATCCCAGCACTTTGGGAGGCTGAGGCGGACGGATCACGAGGTTAGGAGATCCAGACCATCCTGACTAACACGGTGAAACCCTGTCTCTACTAAAATACAAAAAATTAGCTGGGCGTGGTGGCACACACCTGTACTCCCAGCTATTTGGGAGGCTGAGGCAGGAGAATCGCTTGAACCTGGGTAGCAGAGGTTGCAGTGGGCCAAGATTGCACCACTGCACTCCAGTCTGGGCAACAGAGTGAGACTCCATCTCAAGAAAAAAAAAGATTGTGTGCCAGGAATGACATTGGCCGTGTCTAGAGAGATGAACAGGGCAAACAATTCCTTCAACCAAGTTACTCACCTCTATTATACAGAGCCATAGCAAGAAATACTTGCTGTATCAAAAGTCAATGTGGGCTAGGTACGGTGGCTCATGCCTGTAATCCCAGCACTTTGGGAGGCCGAAGTGGGTGGATCACCTGAGGTCAGGAGTTCAAGACCAGCCTGCCCAACATGGTGAAACCCTGTCTACTAAAAATAAAACTAACAAATGCAAAAATTAGCCAGATGTGGTGGTGGGCGCCTATGATCCCAGCTACTCGGGAGGCTGAGGCAGAATCACTTGAACCTGGGAGGTGGAGGTTGTGGCGAGCCGAGATCACACCATTGCACTCTAGCCTGGGCGACAAGGGCAAAACTCTTTCTCAAGAAAAAACAAAAATGCTACCAGGAAGATAAGAGGGAATGTGGAGTAAGCAAGGCTGATCTGAAACTGATCACAGGCTAGGTGCGGTGGTTCACAGCTGTAATCCCAGCACTTTAGGAGACCGAGGTAGGTGGATCACTTGAGGTCAGGAGTTCTAGACCAACCTGGCTACCCTGTTGAAACCCCATCTGTACTAAAAACACAAAAGTTAGCCAGGCATAGTGGTGGGCACCTATAGTCCCAGCACCTGGGGAGGCTGTGGCAGGAAGACCCCTTGAACCCAGGAGGCAGAGATTGCAGTGAGCCAAGATGGGGCCACTGCACTCCAGCCTGCATGACAGAGTGAGACTCTATTTCAAAAACAAAAAAAACAGAAAAAACCTATCACAAAGTCAGCTCAGGCAAGTCACCTACCCAAAAGACTCAATTTTCTCTGTAAGTTGTTTATATTAAAGTTGTCTGAGCAATGTACCATAAATACATTTATGCCTGTCAATTTTTTTTTTTTTTTTTTAAGATGGAGTCTCGCACTGTTGCCAGGCTGGAGTGCAGTGGCACAATCTTGGCTCACTGCAACCTCCACCTCCCGGGTTCAAGCGATTCTCCTGCCTCAGCCTCCTGAGTAGCTGGGACTACAGGCGGGTGCCACCACACCCGGCTAATTTTTGTGTTTTTAGTAGAGTTGGGTTTCACCATGTTGGCCAGGATGGTCTCGATCTCTTGATCCACCCGCCTCAGCCTCCCAAAGTGCTGGGAGATTATAGGTGAGAGCCACCACACCTGGCCACCTGTCAACTTTTAAATAATTTAAAGAAGGCCGGGTACGGTGGCTCTCGCCTGTAATCCCAGCACTTCGGGAGACTTGGGGGTGGGTGGAGCAGATCTCTTGAGGTCAGGAGTTTGAGACCACCCTGAATGAGATGGTGAAACCTGTCTCTACTAAAAGTACAAAAAAAAATTAGCTGGGCGTGGTGGCATGCACCTGTAGTCCCAGCTACTCAGGAGGCTGAGACAGGACAATCACTTGAATCTGGGAGGCGGAGGTTGCAGTGAACAGGGATGGTGCCACTATACTCCAGCCTGGGTGACAAGAACAAGACTTCGTCTCAAAAAAAAAAAAAAAAATTAGCTGGGTGTGGTGGCAGGTGCCTATAATCCCAGCTACTCAGGAGGCTGAGTCAGGAGAATCAGGAGAATCGCTTGAACCTGGGAGGTGGAGGTTACAGTGAGCCGAGATCGCGCCATTGCATTCCAACCTGGCCAACAGAGAAACTGTCTCAAAACAAAAACAAAAACAAAAACTCTCTGCGCTGTGCTCCTAACTTTCTACAAACTGAGTTCTAATTCTCTGCAACGTTCGTTCTTCCCTCTATTCTTACGGAAGGGAGGTTGGCATTCTCCAGGAGACAGTGGGCACATTAAGAATAGTGGAGGAAAAGATTGGAGAGAGATGGGGTTCTTCAAAGGAACAGGAGATAGCAGCAAGAACGGGGGGCTTCCTCAGCTGACTCCAACATTGGAGGTCCTGACACCCACCTTGTGCTTCTGTTTTGAAGCGCTCCAGCATTTCGTCCACGTCTAGAGGTGGTCGTTCTTTCCGTGTTATCCCTGGAGAAAAAGGGCGGCATTACAGGCCTGTTGCTGTGCTGGCAGTGGGACTCCAAGATGGCTCAAGTTGGACCCCTGAGTCTCAGTAGTGAAGCCTAGATTAGGTACTAAAAAGGACGTTGATAAGGTACTGGATGTAAAAGTGAAAGTACATTAGGCCATGATCCCAGGTTTATGTGCCTTTCTGGTGAGAATTCCTAAGTAGTTCAGAACACATGGTGTGAAAGACACACACACACACACACACACACACACACACACACAAACTACTCACGCATAAGGCCACTGGAAAGGCTTTGAGGATTAACTGCCTAGTTTTTCTTTTTTTTTGAGATGTAGTTTTGCTCTTGTTGCCCAGGCTGGAATGCAATGGTGTGATGTCGGCTCACTGCAACCTCCGCCTCCTGGGTTCAAGTGATTCTCCTGCCTCGGCCTCCGGAGTAGCTGGGATTACAGGAATGTGCCACCATACCTGGCTAATTTTGTATTTTTAGTACAGACAGGGTTTCTCTACGTTGGTCAGGCTGGTCTCGAACTCCCAACCTCAGGTGATCTGCCTGCCAGGCCTAACCCCCTAGTTTCTGATGAGGTAGATAAATTTAAAATGAACTGGGAAAGAATGTAAGAACAAGGTGGAATCAGCCGGGCATGGTGGCTCATGCCTGTAACCCAACACTTTGGGAGGCCAAGGCAGGCGGATCATGAGGTCAGGAGATCGAGACCATCCCGGCCAACATGGTGAAGCCCCGTCTCTACTAAAACAAAAAATTAGCCGGGCATGGTGGTGTGTTACCTGTAAGTCCCAGCTACTTGCGAGGCTGAGGCAAGGGAATTGCTTGAACCCAGGAGGCGGAGATTGCAGTGAGCCAAGATCGCTCCACTGCACTTCAGCCTGGCAAAAGAGCAAGCGAGACTCCGTATCAAAAAAAAAAAAAAAAAGAGAGAGAACAAGGTGGAATCCTAATAACAATATCTGCAGCTTAACCCTGGATAATGAAGAGGTGAGTCCATGGAACTCCTGAAAAGATGCTGGGGAGGGAACTGGACACGGGCATGTGAAATTCAGGACAAAGGCTGATCTGAGAAGAGCCTTTAGAGTCTTCACCACCAGGTGAGGTGGCTCATGCCTGTAATCCCAGTACTTTGTGAGGCTGAGGCAGACAGTTCATTTGAGGTCAGCAGTTTGAGACCAGCCTGGCCAACATGGTGAAACCCTGTCTCTACTAAAAATACAAAAATTAGCCAGACGTGGTGGTAGGCGCCTGTAATCCCAGCTACTTGGGAGGCTAAGGCAGGAGAATCACTTGAACCTGGGAGGCGGAGGCTGCAGTGAGATTGTACCACTGCACTCCAGCCTGGGTGACAGAGCAAGACTCTGTCTCAAAAAAGGTCTTCATGAGACCAGGCGCAGTGACTCACACCTGTAATCCCAACACTTTGGGAGGCTGAGGCACGTGGATCACGAGGTCAGGAGTTCAAGACCAGCCTGGCCAACATGGTGAAACCCCATCTCTACTAAAATTACAAAAATTAGCTGGGCTTGGTGGCAGACACCTATAATCCCAGCTACTCGGGAGGCTGAGGCAAGAGAATCACTTGAACCGGGAGGCGGAGGTCAGAGGTTGCAGTGAGCTGAGATCATGCCACTGCATTCCATCCTGGGCAACAGAGTGAGACTTTGTCCAAAAAAAAAAAGTCTTCATGGCCAGGTGTGGTGAATCATGTCTGTAATCCCAGCACTTTGGGAGGCCAAGGTGGGAGGATCACTTGAGACCAGGAGTTTGACACCATATCTGGCAACATAGTGAAACTGTCCCTACCAAAAATACAAATATTAGTCAGGTGTGGCAGTGCACACCTGTAGTCCCAGCTACTCAGGAGGCTGAGGTAAGAGGATCTCTGGAGCCTGGAAGGTTGAGGCTGCAATGAGCTATGACTGTGCCACTGCAATCAAGCCGGAGCAACACAGCAAGACCCCATCTCAAAACACAATCTTCAGGGGCCGGGCGCGGTGGCTCACGCCTGTAATCCCAGCACTTTGGGAGGCCGAGGCGGGCGGATCACAAGGTCAGGAGATCGAGACCATCCTGGCTAACACGGTGAAACCCCGTCTCTACTAAAAACACAAAAAAATTAGCCAGGCGTGGTGGTGGGCGCCTGTAGTCCCAGCTACTCGGGAGGCTGAGGCAGGAGAATGGCATGAACCCGGGAGGCGGAGCTTGCAGTGAGCCGAGATCACGCCACTGCACTCCAGCCTGGGCAACAGAGAGAGACTCTATCTCAAAAAAAAAAAAAATAATAATAATCTTCAGGATATAAGTAGCTGGTAAGGGCCAGGTGTCATGGCTCACACCTGTACCCCAGCAGTTTGGGAGGGTGAGGCAGGAGGACTGATTGAGTTTAGTAATTCGAGGCCAGCCTGGGCAACATAGCAAGACCCTGTCTCTACAAAAAGTGAAAAAAATTAGCCAGGCATGGTGGCAAGTGCCTGTGGTCCCAGCTACTCAGGAGGCTGAGGCAGGAGGATCACCAGAGCTTGGGAGGTCAAGGCTGCAGTGAACCATGATTGCACCACTCCAGCCTAAGTGACAGAGTGAAGCCCTGTTTCAAAAAAAAAAAAAAAAAAAAAAAAAAAAAAAAAAAAACAAAACCGGGTGTGGTGGTGGCTCATGCCCATAATCCCAGCATTTTGGGACGCTGAGGTGGGCAGATCACTTGAGGTCAGGAGTTCAAGACCAGCCTGGCCATCATGGTGAAACCCCATCTCTACAAACACCACAAAAAATTAGCCGGGCCTGGTGGCAGGTACCTGTAATCCCAGCTATTCTAGAGGCTGAGGCAGGAGAACTGCTTGAACCCAGGAGGTAGAGGTTGCAGTCAGCCGAGGTCGTACCACTGCACTTCAGCCTAGGTGACAGAGCAAGCCTCCATCTCAAAAAAGAAAAGTCTCTACCTTATCCAGATTCAAAGGCCAAGCTTACCCTTCCCCGCTTTGTATGTATTTATAGATTTCCAACAAACGCGATCGTGTTTCAGCTTCCCAGGTCTTACTGCTACGCACCTGCGAGACCAGCTCCGCCCTGGGAGCAGGGATGCTAAGTCCGGCATTTCTTTGCATTCTTAGTGCTCAGCACATTCTCCTTAAAACAAAGGCCCGAGTCCCCAGATCTCACATGAAGAATAAAAGTTATAAATGAGGTAACTTACCTAATGATAGAGGCTTCCTTTTATTAAAGGATTTCAAAGCTGCTTCTGAAAAAGGAGAAGGGGGGAAAATTTTGCATTTTACCATAAGCTCAAGATTTTATTGCCTTCATAAAAGAAAAGATGACACTTAGAACTGGATCACTTGTTCCTTTCTCTTATCTCCTTCCAGTTCAAAATGCTTGCATCTTTTTTTTTTGAGACAGAGTGTCACTCTGTTGCCCAGGCTGGAGTGGCACAATCTTGGCTCACTGCAACCTCTGCCTCCCAGGTTCAAGCGATTCTCCTGCCTCAGCTTCCTGAGTAGCTGGGACTATAGGCATACACCACCATGCCCAGCTAAGTTTTGTATTTTTAGTAGAGATGGGGTTTCACCATTTTGGCCAGGCTGGTCTCAGACTCCTGACCTTGTGATCCGCCCACCTCGGCCTCCCAAAGTGTTGGGATTACAGGCGTGAGCCACCGCGCTTGGCTGCTTGTATCTTTTAATAGCCAGCATTCTTAGATCTGCAGTTGGGCTCAAGGCACTCAAGCCTTAGCACAATCTTCTTTGTAGTTTTAGCCTTTTTCCGGAAAATCGGCTTAGTCTGCCCACCATAGCCACTCTGCTTCCTGTCATAACACTACTTCCCCTGGGCATACCAAGAATCCTTGCCTTGTGTCACTTTGTGGGGGTGGTGCTTGCCACACTTCTTACAGAAAGTCCGGCGGGTTTCAGGAACATTCACCATGTCTGTGTGAGCGCTATTGGCATGGAAAGAAAATTTGTATCTTTTTCAGAGCCCAGACCTTCGTAAGTTTACAACTCTCTGGGTTTCCTCCTGCCGTTTTCAAACTTGTAACCTCCGGAGGTCAGCTAAAGTTAAAAACCCTTGGCCGGGCATGGTTGCTCACACCTGTAATCCCAGCACTCTGGGAGGCTGAGGTGGGCAGATCACCTGAGGTCGGGAGTTCGAGACCAGTCTGGTCAACATGGTAAAACCCTGTCTCTACTAAAATACAAAAATTAGCGGGCATGGTGGTAGGCGCCTGTAATCCCAGCTACTCTGGAGGCTGAGGCAGGAGAATCACTTAAACCTGGGAGGAGGAGGTCACAGTGAGCCGAGATCGCGCCATTGCACTCTAGCCTGGGAGACAAGAGTGAAACTTCGACTCAAAAGCAAAACCAAAATCCAAACCAAACCAAAAAAAAAAAAAAAAAAACCCTCACCCATTGTTAAAGACAGGAAACATTATGCTAAAAAGTGATCTCTAGCTGAAATAAAACTGGCAATTTTTAAATAAAAAGATAGGAGTTCCTTAAGGTTGAGGAGTATTCCATTGTGTAATTAATACCATGTTTGTTTGTTTTTTTTTTTTGAGATGGAGTCTTGCTGTCACCCAGGCTGGAGCGCAGTGGCACGATCTTGGCTCACTGCAACCTCTGACTCTCTGGTTCAAGCAATCCTCCTGCCTCAGCCTCCCAAGTAGCTGGGACTACAGGAGTGTGCCACCACGCCCGGCTGATTTTTTTATATTTTTAGTAGAGACAGGGTTTCACCACATTGGCCTGACTGGTCTCAAACTCCTGGCCTCAAGTGATCCACCCGCCTTGGCCTCCCAAAGTGCTGTGATTACAGGCGTGAGCCACTGTGCCCGGCCTACCATGTTTCCTTTTTAAGGCTTGGGGTCCCAACAATCTCATAACCCAGGCAGTAGGCAGGGTACCCAACGGGCACATTTTTTATTCATCCACTGATGGTCACTTAGACTGACTCTATATCTTGGTTACTGTAAATAAAGCTGCACTGGCCAGGCACTGTGGCTCATGTTTCTGATCCCAGGACTGTGGGAAGCCAAGGCAGGAGGATCGGTTGAGCCCACAGAAGTTCGAGACCAGCCTGGGCAACATGGTGAAACCCTATCTCTACAAAAATATATATATATACAAGAATGAGCGAGGTGTGGTGGGAGGCCATAGTGGTAGGATTGCTCAAGTCTGGGAGGTCAAGGCTGCAGTGAGCTGTGATTGCCCCATTGTACTCCAGCCTGAGCAAGAAAACGAGACCCCGTTTCAAAAAAAAGTGTAGCTGGGCATGGCGGCTCACACCTGTAATTCCAGCACATTGGGAGGCTGAGGCGGGTTGATCACGTGGTCAGGAGTTCAAGACCAGCCTGGCCAACATAGTGAAACCCCATCTCTATTAAAATACAAAATTTAGCCAGGCACAGTGGCAGGTGCCTGTATAATCCTAGCTATTCAAGAGGCTGATGCAGGAGAAACACTTGAACCCAGGGGGCGGGAGTTGCAATAAGCTGAGATTGTGCTGCTGCACTCCATCCTGGGTGACAGAGTGAGACTTGTCTCAAACAAACAAAAAAAAAAGTTATGGGGTAGAAAGTAGAGTAGTTCTAAATGCACTTGCTGGCTGGGTGCGGTGGCTCACGCCTGTAATCCCAACACTTTGGGAGGCCGAGGCGGGCAGATCATGAGGTCACGACATCGAGACTATCCTGGCTAACATGGTGAAACCCCATCTCTATTTAGAATACAAAAAAAAAAAAAAAAAAAATCAGCCAGGCATGGTGGGACATGCTTGTAATCCCGGCTACTCGGGAGGCTGAGGCAGGAGAATCGCTTGAACCCGGGAGGCGGAGGTTGCAGTGAGCCGAGATCGTGCTGCTAAATTCCAGCCTGGGTGACAGAGTGAGATCCTCTCTCAAGAAGAGTTAAATAACCATAGTTCATGTGCATTTTATTGTATTGTTATTTTTAATTGTCTTTGCCCCCATTATTTTTGATCTAGGATTGGTTAAATCCACAGATATGTTAGGCCAACTGTACGATACCTGAAAGCGATAGAAATAGGTAGAAAATAATTTACAAGAAAAAAACAAACAACCCCATCAAAAAGTGGGCGAACGACATGAACAGACACTTCTCAAAAGAAGACATTTATGCAGCCAAAAAACACATGAAAAAATGCTCATCATCACTGGCCATCAGAGAAATGCAAATCAAAACCACTATGAGATATCATCTCACACCAGTTAGAATGGCGATCATTAAAAAGTCAGGAAACAACAGGTGCTGGAGAGGATGTGGAGAAATAGGAACACTTTCACACTGTTGGTGGGACTGTAAACTAGTTCAACCATTGTGGAAGTCGGTGTGGGGATTCCTCAGGGATCTAGAACTAGAAATACCATTTGACCCAGCCATCCCATTACTGGGTATATACCCAAATGACTATAAATCATGCTGCTATAAAGACACATGCACACGTATGTTTATTGCAGCATTATTCACAATAGCAAAGACTTGGAACCAACCCAAATGTCCAACAATGATAGACTGGATTAAGAAAATGTGGCACATATATACCATGGAATACAATGCAGCCATAAAAAATGATGAGTTCATGTCCTTTGTAGGGACATGGATGAAATTGGAAACCATCATTCTCAGTAAACTATCACAAGAACAAAAAACCAAACACCGCATATTCTCACTCATAGGTGGGAATTGAACAATGAGATCACATGGACACAGGAAGGGGAACATCACACTCTGGGGACTGTGGTGGGGTGGGGGGAGGGGGGAGGGATAGCATTGGGAGATATACCTAATGCTAGATGACGAGTTAGTGGGTGCAGCGCACCAGCATGGCACATGTATACATATGTAACTAACCTGCACAATGTGCACATGTACCCTAAAACTTAAAGTATAATAAAAAAAATAATAATAATAAAATAAAAAATAAAAAAATAAAAGGACAAAAAAAAAAAAAAAAAGAAGTAGGTAGAAAATAAGGACCAGGACAGACACCAGGGTTTATGAAGATCCAGCACCTGCATTCAGAACAAGCAGTCCCTCTCCAAGCCTCAATGCCATTTCTTTTTTTTTTTGAGACAGAATTTTGCTCTTGTTGCCCAGGCTGGGGTGCAATGGCGTGATCTCGGCTCATAGCAACCCCCGCCTCCTAGATTTAAGTGATTCTCCTGCCTCAGCCTCCCGGAGTAGCTGGGATTACAGGTGTCTGCCACCACGTCCAGCAAATTTTTGTATTTTTAGTAGAGATGCTGTTTCATCACCATGTTGGTCAGGCTGGTCTCAAACTCCTGACCCTCAGGTGGTCCAACCGCCTCAGCCTCCCAAAGGGCTGGGACGACAGGCGTGAGCCAGCGCGCCTGGCCTTCTGAATTTCTAAAGTCCTGGAGAGGACGCCTGCTTCCTCCTAGGACACAGTGTGGACCGATTTCCACTCACCTCTGACTTCATCCTTTGCTCTCTCAGACAGATCCATTCGGTGCATCTTTTCAAAGACCTGGAGGCTCGCCATCTCCACCCAGTAGCTGTCACAATGGGTGGTGAGGATTTCTACCAGTTGCTTCCCATCAGCCTTGTCTACCTCCTTGTGGGGGATCTTCTGGAGCTCGTGTGCCAGGGAGAAGGTCGTGATCAGATACTTGAACTTGCTCAACTCATCCTGGCTGAGCTGCTCCAGGAGAGCCTGCAGGTTGAAGCCCATCTGCGCCGAAGACACCATCTTGTCCCACGTGGGAGCTGTGATGACAATCAAGGGAGGAGTGGAGAGGGATGGTGATTAGCACTCCTGTCTCAAATGCCAGTTCCTGCTGTGCCACGAACAAGGACACTCACCATCTACCCTGCTTCTTCAAGAACAAACTCCCAGCCTGGGCAACATAGTGAGACCCCCATCTCCATGAAAAATAAGTTAGCAGTGGGTGGTGGTACATGCCTGTAGTCCCAGCTACTCAGGAGGCTGCAGTGGGAGGATTGCTTGAGCCTGGGAGACTGAAACTGCAGTGAGCCTTGATTGTGCCACTGCACTCCCATCTGGGCAACAGAGCAAGACCTCAACTCATTTTACTTTTATTTACTTATTTTTGAGATAGTTTCACTCTGCAGCCCAGGCTGGAGTACAGTAGTACGATCTCAGCTCACTGCAACCTCTGCCTCCCAGGTTCAAACAGTTCTCCTGCCTCAGCCTCCCGACTAGCTGGGATTATGGGCACCCACCACCACGCTCAGCTACTTTTTGTATTTTTTTTTTTTTTTTTTTTGAGACGGAGTCTCACTTTGTCACCCTGGCTGGAGTGCAGTGCTGCAATCTCGGCTCACTACAACCTCTGCCTCCCGGATTCAAGCAATTCTCCTGCCTCAGCCTCCCAAGTAGCTGGGATTACAGGCATTCACCACTGTGCCCAGCTAATTTTTTTGTATTTTTAGTAGAGATGGGGGGTTTCACCAAGTTGGCCAGGCTGGTCTCGAACTCCTGACCTCGTGATTCACCTGCCTCAGTGCCCAGCTAGTTTTTCTAATTGCAAAATAACCAGCTACTGTCAGGGTTTTCCCTGAGGGGCTGCTCAGGTTCTAAAAGTTAACCTATAAAGCGAAAACACTCTCTCATTATAGCAAAGTAGTAACACAACAATGAAAGGACAAGCATAGATCAGATAAGGAAGTGGGGAGCTACGTGGATCACCCAGGAGACAAGAAACTTCGTGAAAACTGGGCTGAATATGATAATGCAAACACACAGCCGGGCGCGGTGGCTCACGCCTGCAATCCCAGCACTTTGGGAGGCCGAGGCGGGCGGATCGTGAGGTCAGGAGATCGAGACCATCCTGGCTAACACAGTGAAACCCCGTCTCTACTAAAAATACAAAAAATTAGCCGGGCGTGGTGGCAGGTGCCTGTAGTTCCAGCTACTTGGGAGGCTGAGGCAGGAGAATCGCTTGAACCTGGGAGTGGGAGGCAGAGGTTGTGGTGAGCTGACATGGCGCCACTGCACTCCAGCCTGGGGCGACAAGAGTGAAACTGTCTCAAAAAAAAAAAAGGCTTAAAGATAACTTAGTGGTGGAGCCTGGTCTCAGGACACAGGTGTGTGGCTTTTACTTTACTGAAGCTGGCCGGGGGGCCATGGCTCACACCTGGAACCCCAAACACTTTGGGAAGCCAAGGTGGGAGGATTGCTTGGAGTTTGAGACCAGCCTGGGCAACATGGCAAAACCCTGTCTCTACAAAAAAATACAAAAAAAAAAAAAATTGTGCTGGGCATAGTGGCATGCACCTGTAGTCCCAGCTACTGAGGAGGCTGAGGTGGGAGGATCACCTGAGCCAGGGAAGTTAAGGCTGCAGTGAGCTGTGATCGCACCACTGCACTCCAGCCTGGTAAAACAAACAAAAACACAACACTGGGGGTGGTGGCTGACGCTTGCAATCCCCGCACTTTGGGAAGCTCAGGTGGGTGATCACTCCAGTCCAGAAGTTCCAGACCAGCCTGGCAACTTAAGACCCTGTCTCTATTTTAAAAACAACAGGGCCGGGTGCGGTGGCTCACGCCTGTAATCACAGCACTTTGGGAGTCCAAGGTGGGAGGATCACCTGAGGTCTGGAGCTTGAGACCAGCCTGGCCAACATAGTGAAACCCTATATCGACTAAAAATACGAAAATTAGCCAGGTTGGTGACAGGCGGCTGTAGTCCCAGCTACTTAGAAGGCTGAGGCACGAGAATTGCTTGAACCTGGGAGGTGGAAGTTGCAGTGAGCTGAGATAGCGCCACTGTACTCCAGCCTGGGAAACAGAGCTAGACTTTGTCTCAAAAAAAAAAAAAAAAAAATAGCAGTAGCAACAAAAACTTTACAGAAAGGGTATAACACCTCTTTATATGATAGCTGTGAATAGCGTGAGAATGGCAACTGGCATAGGTATTTGCATAAGACTCAGGTCCGGAAGCTGGACTAGAATGATGCTAAGAGGCTCCCTCACCTCAGTGAATAAAAAACAATACCTTCTTGTTAAGAGGACTCATTAGACACAAAACCTTAGCACTGCCCAGGACTCCACACACAGCAACCACAGCATCTGACCTGTTCCAATATATTTTTTTTTTTGGAGCTCTCTATAGCTCTATCCTAAATCCCCCAAGAGAACAGAAATAAAAGCACACACAACTATCCTCTTATGAGCCAACCTTAACTAGAGTCTCTCTAGATCTAAGCATCTGCTACTCTTTCCCCAGTCAGAACCACTGAATTTTATTTTATTTTATTTTTTGAGACAGTTTCTCTCTTGCTGCGCAGGCTGGAGAGCAATGGTATGATCTAGGCTCCCCGCAACCTCCGCTTCCCGGGTTCAAGTGATTCTCCTGCCTCAGCCTCCTGAGTAGCTAGGATTACAAGTATGCGCTACCACGCCCACCTAATTTTATATTTTTAGTAGAGATGGGGTTTCTACATGTTGGTCAGGCTGGTCTCGAACTCCCGACCTCAGGTGATCCTCCCGCCTCGGCCTCCCAAAGCGCTGCGATTACAGGCGTGAGCCACTGAGACAGGCAGAACCACTTAATTTCTAACAGAAGAAAAGATTTAGGCCGGGCGCGGTGGCACCTGCCTATAATCCCAGAATTTTGGGAGTCTGAGGCAGGAAGATCGCTTGAGCCCAGGAGTTAGAGACCAGCTTCGGCAACATATTAAGACCCTACATCTAGTGAGTCTCTGCAAACAGTGGTAATAATAATATTATTAGCCAGAACAGATGTGGTGGCACCCTCCCACGGTCCCAGCTACTTCAAAGGCTGAGGCGTGAGGACTGCTTGAACCTGAGAGGTCAAGGGTTCAGTGAGCCGAGATCCTGCCACAGCGCTCCAGCCTGGGAAACAGAGTAAGACCCTCAAAAAAGAGAAGAAAAAAAAAAAAAAAAAAAAAAAAAAGGCTGGGCGCGGTGGCTCACGCCTGTAATCCCGGCACCTTGGGAGGCCGAGGCGGACTGAGACCAGCCTGGCCAACATGGTGAAACCCCGTCTCTACTAAAAATACAAAAAAATTAGCTGGGCATAGTGGCAGGTGCCTGTAGTCTCAGCTACTCGGGAGGCTGAGGCAGGAGAATGGCCTGAACCCGGGAGGCGGAGCTTGCAGTGAGCCGAGATCGCGCCACCGCACTCCAGCCTGGGCGACAGAGCGAGACTCCGTCTCAGAAAAAAAATATATGAAATAAAAGGAGAAATTTTACCAACTGTGGAATGGAGAAATAAAGAAATGAAGTTGCAGAGCTGCCGGAGAGCTACTCACCTCCCAACACCTGGCCCTACTCGCCGGCGGAGATGAGGGCTGCAGGTTGAGAAAGCTCTAATAAGGCTTCTCTCTCGGCCGCAGCCCTGTGATTGGCCCTCGGGGCGTAATCGTTGCTGAGCACTTCCTGTATCCACCGGAATTACTGAGAGGTCTTTTGGGGGCGGGGGGTGTTGGGGGGCGGTCCTTCACCTGAGCTTCCGGATCTCCACCTGTGGTCCTCCATCTTGACTGCCTGTTAAACTTACCTATGTGGAGCCTCATTTCAAAGCACGAACGCCTAGAGATTCTGCTTGATTGGTTACACTGGGACTGCCCAGACCCTGGAGTTCTTTCGAGAGTCCCAGATAACTGTGATTGCGGCCGAGGCTGAGAATCACCGCTTAGAAGCCTCAGCTGTGATTGGCTACCTTCTCCCATCACCCCAGGTATATTATTAATAAAAATCCAACCGTATTTCAAGTGAAATATCAATGACACGTCAACTATGAGACGCATGAAAAGCACCAAGTTCATCAGTTTCACATTCACAGTATTATTATTATTTTATTTTTAATGGAGTCTTGCTCTGTTCCCCAGGCTGGAGTGCAACGGCACGATCTCGGCTCCCCGCAGCCTCCGCCTGCCGGCTTCAAGTGATTCCCCTGCCTCAGCCTCCCGAGTAGCTGAGATTACAAGCATGCGCCACAACGCCTGGTTAATTTTTGTATTTTTTTCAATAGAGACGGGGTTTTGCCATGCTGGCCAGGCTGGTCTCAAACTCCCGACCTCAGGTGATCTGCCAGCCTCAGCCTCCTAAAGTGCTGGGATTACAGGCGTGAGCCACCTACTAAAAATACAAAAAATTAGCCGGGCGTGGTGGCGGGCGCCTGTAGTCCCAGCTACTCGGGAGGCTGAGGCAGGAGAATGGCGTGAACCCGGGAGGCGGAGCTTGCAGTGAGCAGAGATCGCGCCACTGCACTCCAGCCTGGGCGACAGAGCGAGACTCCGTCTCAGAAAAAAAATATATGAAATAAAAGGAGAAATTTTACCAACTGTGGAATGGAGAAATAAAGAAATGAAGTTGCAGAGCTGCCGGAGAGCTACTCACCTCCCAACACCTGGCCCTACTCGCCGGCGGAGATGAGGGCTGCAGGTTGAGAAAGCTCTATTAAGGCTTCTTTCTCGGCCGCAGCCCTGTGATTGGCCCTCGGGGCGTAATCGTTGCTGAGCACTTCCTGTATCCACCGGAATTACTGAGAGGTCTTTTGGGGGCGGGGGGTGTTGGGGGGCGGTCCTTCACCTGAGCTTCCCGATCTCCACCTGTGGTCCTCCATCTTGACTGCCTGTTAAACTTACCTATGTGGAGCCTCATTTCAAAGCACGAACGCCTAGAGATTCTGCTTGATTGGTTACACTGGGACTGCCCAGACCCTGGAGTTCTTTCGAGAGTCCCAGATAATTGTGATTGCGGCCGAGGCTGAGAATCACCGCTTAGAAGCCTCAGCTGTGATTGGCTACCTTCTCCCATCACCCCAGGTATATTATTAATAAAAATCCAACCGTATTTCAAGTGAAATATCAATGACACGTCAACTATGAGACGCATGAAAAGCACCAAGTTCATCAGTTTCACATTCACAGTATTATTATTATTTTATTTTTAATGGAGTCTTGCTCTGTTCCCCAGGCTGGAGTGCAACGGCACGATCTCGGCTCCCCGCAGCCTCCGCCTGCCGGCTTCAAGTGATTCCCCTGCCTCAGCCTCCCGAGTAGCTGAGATTACAAGCATGCGCCACAACGCCTGGTTAATTTTTGTATTTTTTTCAATAGAGACGGGGTTTTGCCATGCTGGCCAGGCTGGTCTCAAACTCCTGACCTCAGGTGATCTGCCAGCCTCAGCCTCCTAAAGTGCTGGGATTACAGGCGTGAGCCACCGTGCCTGGCTGGCAGTATTAATTTTGTAAACATATAGCCGGGCACAGTGGCTCACGCCTGTAATCCCAGCACTTTGGGAGGCCGAGGCAGGTGGATCACGAGGTCAGGAGATCGAGACCATCCTGGCTAACACGGTGAAACCCCGTCTCTACTAAAAATACAAAAAATTAGCCGGGCGTGGTGGCGGGCACCTGTAGTCCCAGCTACTCGGGAGGCTGAGGCAGGAGAATGGCGTGAACCCGGGAGGCGGAGCTTGCAGTGAGCCGAGATCGCGCCACTGCACTCCAGCCTGGGCGACAGAGCAAGGCTCCATCTCAAAAAAAAAAAAAAAAAAAAAAACACCATATAAATAAGACTAAAAAGTTGGGTTTTGGCCGGGCGCGGTGGCTCACGCCTGTAATTCCAGCACTTTGGGAGGCCAAGGCGGGTGGATCACGAGGTCAGGACTTCAAGACCAGCCTGGCCAAGATGATGAAACCCCGTCTCAACTAAAAATACAAAAAATTAGTCGGGCGTGGTGGCGGGTGCCTGTAATCCCAGCTACTTGGGAGGCTGAAGCAGAGAATTGCTTGAACCCAGGAGGCGGAGGTTGCAGTGAGCCGAGACCGCACCACTGCACTCCACCCTGGGCGACAGAGTGAGACTCCGTCTCAAAAAAAAAAAGAAAAAAGTTGGGTTTTATAGCTTTTTTTCATGTTTCTTTGTTTGTTTTGCTTTTTTTTTTTCTGAGACTGAGTCTGGCACTGTCGCCCGGGCTGGAGTGCAGTGGCGCAATCTTGGCTCACTGCAACCTCCGCCTCCAGAGTTCAAGCGATTCTCCTGCCTCAGCCTCCTGAATAGCTGGGATTACAGGCGCGTGCCACTGTACCCGGCTAATTTTCTTATTTTTAGTAGAGATGGGGTTTCACCATGTTGGACAGGGTGGTCTTGAACTCCCAACCTCAGGTAATCTGCTCACCTCGGCCTCCCAAAGTGCTAGGATTACAGGCATGAGCCACTGCGCCTAGCCTTTTTTTTGTATTTTTAGTAGAGATGGGGTTTCACTATGTTGGCCAGGCTGGTCTCAAACTCTTGACCTCGTGATCCGCCCGCCTCGGCCTCCCAAAGTGCTTGGGTTGCAGGCACGAACCACCGCGCCCAGCCTTTTTCATGTTTTAGAACCAACATATGTATATGTACATCTATATTTCTTTTCGTTTTTTCTTTTTGAGACAGGGTCTCACTCTGTCGCCTAGGCTGGTGTGCAGTGGCACAATCATAGCTTACTGAAGGCTACAGGCATACGCCATCACGCCTGACTAGATTTTTGTATTTTTTATAGAGATGGAGGTCTCACTATGTTGCCCAGGCTGGTCTCAACCCCATGGGCTTAAGCAATCTTCCCACCACGGCCTCCCAAAGTGCTGGGATTTCCGGTGTGAGCCACCATGCTTGACCCTGTGTTTACTTATTAAGTCCTCTAAACATTGCTACACAGTAGTGATTGCCATGATCCTACCCATTTTTCACTTTCCTTGAGAAAATGAAGGCAAGGCATATTTAGAAAACCTGTCTGAGGTCTTGAAGATCACAAACAGCTGTCAGCTTCCGGAAGCCCAGCTCTTCACTGCCGCGCTCAGTTGCCTATCCTAGAAAGAATAAGAAAGTGAGGGGGCCCAGTGTGGTGCCTCACGCCTGTAATCCCAGCACTTTGGGAGGCCGAGGCGGGCGGATCACGAGGTCAGGAGATGGAGACCATCCTGGCTAACACGGTGAAACCCCGTCTCTACTAAAAATACAAAAAATTAGCCGGGCGTGGTGGCGGGCGCCTGTAGTCCCAGCTACTCGGGAGGCTGAGGCAGGAGAATGGCGTGAACCCGGGAGGCGGAGCTTGCAGTGAGCTGAGATCGCGCCACTGCACTCCAGCCTGGGTGACAGAGCAAGACTCTGTCTCAAAAACAAACAAACAAAAAAGAAAGAAAGAAAGAAAAGAAAATGAGGGGCCGGGCGTGGTGATTCATGCCTGTAATCCCAGCACTTTGGGAGGCCGAGGCGGGTGGATCACCTGAGGTCAGGAGTTCGAGATCAGCCTGACCAACATGGTGAAATCCCATCTCTACTAAAAATACACAAAAAATTAGCCAGGCGTAGTGGCAGATGCCTGTAATTCCAGCTATTCTGGAGGCTGAGGCAGGAAAATGGCTGGAACCTGGGAGGCAGAGGTTGCAGTGAGCTGAGATCGTGCCATTGCACTCCAGCCTGGGCAACAAGAGCGAAACTCTGTCTCAAAAAAAAAAAAAAAATTGAGGGATGGAGGGAATAGGAAGGATGAATGAAAATGTGCAGGAGCAGTTTTCAGACTGCACATTTCAATAAATTCTTTTTCATTTTTTCTTTTTTTTTTTTTTGAGATGGAGTTTTGCTCTTGTCGCCCAGGCTGGAGTGCAATGGCGCGATCTCAGCTCACTGCAACCTCTGCCTGCCGGTTTCCTGTGATTCTCCTGCCTCAGACTCCTGTGTAGCTGGGATTACAGGCATGTACCACCACGCCCGGCTAATTTTGTAGTTCTAGTAGAGATGGGGTTTCACCATACCCTTTTGGCCAGGCTGTTCTTGAACTCCTGACCTCAGGTGATCCACCCGCCTCAGCCTCCCAAAGTTCTGGGATTACAGGCATCCACTTCCCCCGACCTTTTTCTACCTTCTTAATATGGACACCCTACCATAATTTGGAGGTACTTTTTTTTTTGTTTCCTTTTTGAGACAGACTCTCGCTCTGTTGCCCAGGCTGGAGTGCAGTGGTGTGGTCTCGGCTCACTGCAACCTCTGCCTCCGGGGCTCAAGCAATTCTCTTGCCTCAGCCTCCTACAGGCACCTGCCACCATGCCAGGCTAATTTTTAGTACAGATAGGTTTTCACCATGCTGGCCAGGCTCTTCTTGAACTCCTGATCTGAGATCCACCTGCCTCGGCTTCCCAAAGTGCTGGGATTACAGGTGTGAACCACCACGCCCAGCCACAGTACCTTTTTTAAAAAATTTGTATTTTCTTTTATTTATTTATTTATTTATTTAGAGATGAAGTCTCTCTGTTGTTGCCCAGGCTGGAGTGCAGTGGCATGATCTTGGCTCACTGCAACCTCTGCCTCCCGGGTTCAAGTGATTCTCCTGCCCTAGCTGGGATTATAGGCTCCCGCCACCATACCAAGCTAATTTTGTATTTTTAGTAGACACGGGGTTTCACCACCTTGGCCGGGCTGGTCTTGGACTCCTGACCTCGGGTGATCCACCTGCTTTGGCCTCCCAAAGTGCTGGAATTACAGGCGTGAGACACTGTGCCTGGCCCACTCCCCCTCTTTTTTAACTAGAGACTGGGTCTCACTTTGTACACCGGGCCGGTCTTGAACTCCTGGGCTCCATGGCCCTCCCGCCTTGGCCTCCCAAAGTACTGAGATTACAGGTGTGAGCCACTATGCCTGGCCCATTATTTTATATTTTAATATAAATATTTACATTTATAAATTTCCATCAGTGCAACAAACACATTTCAACAGCAATTTCACCACCACTCAGTTCTAGCATTTTTAAAAATGCCCTTTGTTATTTCTTCTTTGACCTTGGAATTATATAGAATATTTTTTTAAGACTCAAATGCATGGGATTAAGAAATTATCTTTTGTGCTGGGCATGGTGGCTCACGCCTGTAATCCCAGCACTTTGGGAGGCCGAGGCAAGCGGATCACGAGGTCAGGAGATCGAGACCATCCTGGCTAACACGGTGAAACCCCGTCTCTACTAAAAATTAAAAAAATTAGCTGGGCACGGTGGCGGGTGCCTGTAGTCCCAGCTACTTGGGAGGCTGAGGCAGGAGAATGGCGTGAATCCGGGAGGCGGAGCTTGCAGTGAGCCACCATCACACCACTGCACTCCAGCCTAGGTGACAGAGCAAGACTCCATCTCAAAAAATAAAAATAAAAATAAAAATAAAACTATCTTTTGTTACAATTCTTCTAACTTTTGTTCTATTGAGGAAATTGAGACTGAAATGTTAAGTAGCAACCCCAAGGTCACATAACTCATGGGTGGCTGGGGAGAAGGATGGATTTAAACAGACTTCTGGTTGAGCGCGGTGGCTTAAGGCTGTAATCCCAGCACTTTGGGAGGCTGAGATGGGTGGATCACTTGAGGTCAGGAGCTCGAGACTAGCCTGGCCAACATGGTGAAATCCCGTCTCTACTAAAAATACAAAAGTTAGCTGGGTGTGGCGGCAGGCACCTGTAATCCCAGCTACCCAGGAGGCTGAGGGAGGAGAATTGCTTGAACCCGGGAAGCAGAGGTTGCAGTGAGCTGAGATCTCGCCACTGCACTCCAGCCTGGGTGATAGAGGGAGACAACATCTCAAAAAACAAAACGAAAGAAACAAACAAACAAAAAAAACAAGAAACACCAGACTTCTGTTGGAATAAGTGAGTTTGGTTCGGGTAGATGGAACCTGCAAAGGGGTTTGGAGATCCAAAAGAGGAACTACGTGGTTAGAACAGAGTATCGGATGAACTGATAAGAAACCACAATTCAAAAACAATTCAACAAAATGCCCAGGTCTGTGAAAGCCTGTCTACACCAGGCCTTGGGTCTCTGTGTACATTGCCTGCTTCTGACAAGGCTCTGCAGCCGGGAGTCGGCTCCCAGGGTTGCATGGCTGGGAACAACAGAAGCTCAGGAGCGGACCTAAAACGGAGCAGTTGGGTAAAATGAAGCTGTCTCCATTTACTTTCTACAGACAGACATCCATGAGAGGATGAGGAGGTGTGCTTGCCTCCTGGTCAAGCACTAATTTTTTTTTCCAAGCACTAATTTTAATTTTTTTATTTTTTGTAGAAACAGGGTCTCAGAGTATTTGCTTTGGCAGCACATACACTAAAATTGGAAATGGGGGTCTTGCTATGTTGCCCAGGCTGGACTTGAGCTCCTGGGCTCAAGGGATCCTCCCACCTCAACCTCCTAAAGTGCTATCCACTCTGACCTTGTGATCCACCTGCCTCAGCCTCCCAAAGTGCTGGTGAGGGAAGAGAGAAACCGTCTCATATTGTTTTATATTGTTTTATACTCAGTACTTGTTTTAGAAAAAAAACAAGGAGGCCGGGCACGGTGGCTCACGCCTGTAATCCCAGCACTTTGGGAGGCCAAGGCGGGTGGATCACAAGGTCAGGAGTTTGAGACCAGCCTGGCCAACATGGTGAAACCCCGTCTCTATTAAAAATACAAAAATTAGCCGGGCATGGTGGCGTGCGCCTGTAATCCCAGCTACTCGGAAGGATGAGGCAGCAGAATTGCTTGAATCCAGGAGGCGGAGCTTGCAGTGAGCCGAGATTGTGCCACTGCACTCCAGCCTTAGCGACAGAGCAAGACTCTGTCTCAAAAAAAAAAAAAAAGAAAAAGAAAAAAACAAGGAAGTGAAACCAAAGGCAGGTAGCCCGGCGCCAGGCACCAGACCCAAAACCAGACCCGAAACCAGGCCTGGGCCTGCCTGGCGTAAACCTAGTAGATAAAAATCAACTCATGACTTAGAACCCGATGTTATCCATAGATTCCAGGCATTGTATAGAAGAACACTGTGAAACTCCCTGCCCTATTCTTTCTCTCTGACCAGCAGTGCACGAAACCCCTGTTATGTATCCCCTAGATTGCTCAATCATGACCCTTTCATGCGCAGTCTTTAGTGTTGTGAGCCCTTAAAAGGGACAGAAACTGTGCACTCGAGGAGCTTGGATTTTAAGACAGTAGCTTGCCGATGCTCCCAGCTGAATAAAGCCCTTCCTTCTACAACTCGGTGTCTGAGAGGTTTTTGTCTGTGGCTCGTCCTGCTACACTGGGATTACAGGCGTGAGCCACTGTGCCTGGCCACTAGTTATTATTATTATTATTATTTGAGACAGAGTCTCACTCTGTCCCTTGGGCTGGAGTGCAGTGGCCTGATCTTGACTCACTGCAACCTTTGCCTCCCGGGTTCAAGCGATTCTCCTGCCTCAGCCTCCAGAGTAGCTGGGATTACAGGCATGCACCACTATGCCCAGCTAGCTAACTTTTTGTATTTTTAGTAGAGACAGGGTTTCACCATGTTGGCCAGGCTGGTCTTGAACTCCTGACCTTGTGATTCGCCCACCTCGGCGTCCCAAAGTGCTGGGATTAGAGGCGTGAGCCACTGCACCCGGCAATACTAGTTATTGTTAATGCTATTATTGTTACTGACATGTTCATTTTTACCTAGCCACTTTATTTTCCCACCTCTTTCTCCCTACTTCTCCTAAGTGTCAATGTTAGATAAGTCTGAAATTCTCTTTCCCTGTCCCTCTCTGTCTCTCTCTCCTTCTTTGTCTTTCTTTCACCTGAGACCCATAATCCTGGAGATAGCAAGTGCCTCAGGGAGAAAATCCCAAACCAAGCGATTCTCCTGCCCTAGCCTTCCAAGTAGCTGGGATTACAGGCTCCTGCCACCATACCAAGCTAATTTTGTATTTTTAGTAAAGACACGGTCTCACCACCTTGGCCAGGCTAGTCTCGGACTCCTGACCTCAGGTGATCCACCCACCTGGGCCTCCCAAAGTGCTGGAATTACAGGCGTGAGACACCGTGCCCGGCCCCCTCCCCATCTTTTTTAAATAGAGACTGGGTCTCACTTTGTACACCGGGCCAGTCTTGAACTCTTGGGCTCCATGGCCCTCCAGTGTGGAGGAGAGAAAATGGATTCCCTCCACCCTCCTAGGTTCTTTGGATGGGCTATGAATTACATTGACACAAAACAGTTTGACAGAAGAAAAACCAGATTCAATTATGTATGCACAGGAGTCCCACAAAAATGTGAGACTGGAGGAAGGGCCAGATGATTGAAGCTCATCTAGCTGCCTGAGCTACAGAAAGGAGTATAAGAGTGTAGGGTGCAGTGGCTCACGCCTGTGATCCCAGCAGTTTGGGAGGCCAAGGTGGGTGGATCACCTGAGGTCAGGAGTTTGAGACCAGCCTGGCCAACATGGTGAAACCCCATCTCTGCTAAAAATACAAAAATTAGCTGGTGTGGTGGTGTGTGCCTGTAATCCCAGCTACTCCGGAGGCTGAGGCAGGAGAATCACTTGAACCCGGGAGGAGGAAACTGCAGTGAGCTAAGATCGCACCATTGTACTCCAGCCTGGGCTTCAAAGGGAGACTCCATCTCAAAAAAAAAAAAAAAAAGAAGAAGAAGAAGAAAGGAGTAGGGGTGTCCGTCCCAGTGGCTCACGGTCTGTAATCTCAACACTTTGGGAACCGAAATGGGTGGATCACCTGACGTCGGGAGTTTGAGACTAGCCTGGACAACAGGGTGAAACCCAGTCTCCACTAAAAATACAAAAATTAGCCAGGTGTGGTGGTGTGCCCTGTAATCCCAGCTACTTGGGAGGCTGAGACAGGAGGATTACTTGAACCCGGGAGGTGGAGGTTGCAGTGGGCCAAGATCACGCCACTGCACTGCAGCCTGGGAGATAGAGGGAGACCCTGTCTCAAAATAAAATAAATAAATAAATAAATAAATACATACATACATAAATGAAAAGGCGTAGAGACTTGGAGCTTCTGGGGGTGGTGGAGGCAAATTAAGGTATGATAAAAGGGGGAAAAGTTGCTGGGTTCACGCCTGTAATTCCAGCACTTTGGGAGGCCAAGGCAGGTGGATCACCAGAGGACAGGAGTTCGAGACAAGCCTGGCCAACATGGTGAAACCCCGTTTCTACTAAAAATGCAAAAAATTAGAAGGCGTGGTGTTGGGTGTCAGTGATCCACCTGCCTCGGCCTCCCAAAGTGCTGATATTATAGGCGTGAGCCACTGCGCCCGGCCTTTTTTTTTTTTTGAGGGAGAGTCTTGCTCTGTCTCCCAGGCTGGAGTGCAAAGGCACAATCTCAGCTCACTGCAACCTCCGCCTCCCGGGTTCAAGTGATTCTCCTGCCTCAGCCTCCCGAGTAGCTGGTATTACAGGCACCTGCCACCGCGCCCAGCTAATTTTTGTATTTTTTTTTAGTAGAGATGGGGTTTTGCCATGTTCACCAGGGTGGTCTCAAAGTCCTGACCTCAAGTGATCCGCCTGCCTTGGCCTCCCAAAATCCTGGAATGACAGGCATGAACCACCATACCCAGTCCTGTTTTTCCTACTTTCACACTCAACACAGAATACTTCACCAAAAATGTATGTTTCTCCCCACCAACAACCAGTTCTCCAGCAGAGACCAGCTGGGTGTCCTCTCCTTTGATTTAGTTCTGACACTCCCTACCTGGGGACAGCATCAGATCCCAAAGGTTCAGGGCTGAGTCCCACAAGACTGACTGACTTCCTTCCTTCCTTCCTTGTCCCACAAGACTGACTTCCTTTCCCTCCTTCCCTTCCCTCCTTCCCTCCTTCCCTCCTTCCTTCCTTTCTCTCCCTCTGTTGCCCAGGCTGGAGTGCAGTTGCGAGATCATGGCTCACTGTAGCCATGACCTCCCAGTCTCAAGTGATCCTCCTGCCTTGGCCTCCTGAGTAGCTGGGACTACAGGCATGCACGATCACAGTTGGCTATTTATTTATTTATTTATTTATTTTTGAGACACAGTCTTGCTCTGTCATCCAGGCTGGAGTGCAGTCCTGTCATCTAGGCTGGAGTGCATTTTTGCAATACAAAAATTAGCCAGGCATGGGAGCGAATGTCTATAATCCCAGCTACTTGGGAGGCTGAGGCTCGACAATCCCTTGAACCCAGGAGGTTGAGGATCACAGCTCACTGCAACCTCAGTCTTGCTGTGTCGCCCAGGCTGAAGTGCAGTGGCACGATCTTGGCTCACTGCAACCTACGACTCCGGGATTCACGTCATTCTCCTGCCTCAGCCTCCCGAGTAGCTGGGACCACAGGCGCCCACGACCTCCTGGCTAACTTTTGTATTTTTTGTAGAGATGGGGTTTCGCCATGTTAGTCAGGCTGGTCTGACCTCAAATGATTCACCCACCTCAGCTTCCCAACATGCTGGGCTTACAGCCACTGTGCTCAGTCGAAATTCTGTATATTTGATCAAGAAGAGGTTTCATCATGTTGTCCAGGCTGGTCTGGAACTCTTGAACTCAAGCAATCCACCTACCTGGGCTGCCCAAAGTTCGGGGATTCCAGGCATGTGCCACCATGCCTGGCCCAAGGCTGCTCTTCCTAAAGAAGAAAATTATTCCAATGATTTTATTTATTTATTTTTGAGACGGAGTTTCACTCTTGTTGCCCAGGCTGGAGTGCAATGGCATGATCTTGGCTCACTGCAACCTCTGCCACCCGGGTTCAAGTGATTCTCCTGCCTCAGCCTCCTGAGTAGCTGGGATTACAGGCACGCACCACCACACCCAGCTAATTTTTTTGTATTTTAGTAGAGACGGGGTTTCTCCATGTTGGTCAGGCTGGTCTCAAACTTCGGACCTCAGGTGATCCGCCAGCCTTGGCCTCCCAAAGTGCTGGGATTGCAGGCGTGAGCCACCGCGCCCGGCCACCAATGATATTTTTTAAAAGCAAGTAAGGACGAGCTGGGCATGGTGGGTTCTTGAATCTCATACCAGAAAGAATTCAGGGCGAGACTATGGAGTAAAGTGGAAGCAAGCTTATTAGGAAAGTGAAGGAGTAAAAGAATAGCTACTCCATAGACAGCAGCCCATAGGGCTGCTAGTTGCCCTTATTTTTTTTGAGATGGAGTTTTGCTCTTGTCGCCCAGGCTGGAGTGCAGTGGCGTGATCTTGGCTCACTGAAACCTCTGCCTTGAATCACTTCAGTTCAAGTGATTCTCCTGCCTCAGCCTCCTGAGTAGCTGGGATTACAGGTGCCTGCCATCACGTCTGGCTAATTTTTGTATTTTTAGTAAGAGATGGGGTTTCACCATGTTGGCCAGGCTGATCTTGACCTCCTGAGCTCAGGTGATATGCCCGCCTCGGCCTCCCAAAGTGTTGGGATTACAGGCGTAAGCCACCACGTCCGGCCTCGGTTGCCCTTTTTTTTTTTTTTTTTTTTTTTTGAGACGGAGTCTCGCTCTTTCACCAGGCCAGAGTGCAGTGGCACTATCTCGGCTCACTGCAAGCTCCGCCTCCTGGGTTCAGGCCATTCTCCTGCCTCAGCCTCCCGAGTAGCTGGGACTACAGGCGCCCGCCACCGCACCCAGCTAATTAGTTGTATTTTTTTTTAGTAGAGATGGGATTTCACCGTGTTAGCCAGGATGGTCTCAATCTCCTGACCTCATGATCCACCCGCCTCGGCCTCCCAAAGTGCTGGGATTACAGGCGTGACCACCGCGCCCGGCCGGTTGCCCATTTTTATGGTTATTTCTATGGATATGCTAAACAAGGGGTGGATTATTCATGCCTCCCCTTTTTAGACAGCATAGGGTAACTTCCTGACATTGCCATGGCATTTGTAAACTGTCATGGGGCTGCTGGGAGTGGAGCGGTGAGGACAACCAGAGGTTACTCTCGTCACTATCTTGGTTTTGATGGAGTTTGACTGGATGCTTTATTTATTTTTATTTATTTTTTATTTTTTTGAGACGGAGTCTCGCTCTGTCACCCAGGCTGGAGTGCAGTGGCGCGATCTCCGCTCACTGCAAGCTCCATCACCCGGGTTCACGCCGTTCTCCTGCCTCAGCCTCCCGAGTAGCTGGGACTACAGGCGCCCGCCACCACGCCCAGCTAATTTTTTGTATTTTTTTTTTTTAGTAGAGATGGTTTCACCGTGTTAGCCAGGATGGTCTCAATCTCCTGACCGTGTGATCCACCCGCCTCAGCCCCCGAAAGTGCTGGGATTACAGGTGTGAGCCACCGCGCCCGGCCTGGCTGGATTCTTTATTGCTAAGGGAGGAGACCACCCCTCATATTGTCTTATGCCCAATTTCCACCTCCAAAGAAAGAAAAAGTAAAAACTAAAAGGCAGAAATGAAATCCACAAGCAGACAGCCCCGCGCCCCAGGAATGAAATCCACAAGCAGACAGCCCCGCGGCCCAGGAATGAAATCCACAAGCAGACAGCCCGGCGCCACACCCTGGGCCTGGTAGTTAAAGATTGACCCCTGACCTAATCGGTTATCTATAGATTACAGACATTGTATAGAAAAGCACTGTGAAAATCCCTATCCTGTTTTGTTTGGATCTGATTACCAGTGCATGCAGCCCCCAGTCACGTACCCCCTGCTTGCTCAGTCGATCACGACCCTCTCACGCACACCCCCTTAGAGTTGTGAGCCCTTAAAAGGGACAGGAATTGCTCACTTGGGGATCTCGGCTCTTGAGACGGGAGTCTTGCCGATGCCCCTGGCCGGATAAACCCCTTTCTTCTTTAACTCGGTGTCTGAGGAGTTTTGTCTGTGGCTGGTCCTGCTACATTGCTACCTGTGTTATCAGCAAGGTCCTTATGACCTGTATCTTGTGCTGACTTATCTCATCCTGTGACTTAGAATGCTTTTTTTTTTCTTTTTACTGCAACCTCCGCCTCCCCGGCTCAAGCGATTCTCCTGCCTCAGCCTCGCAAGTAGGTGGGATTACAGGCACGAGCCACCACGCCTGACTAATTTTTGTATTTTCAGTAGAGACGGGGTTTCACCGTGTTGGCCAGGCTGGTCTCAAACTCTACTTCGGGTAATCCACCCGCCTCGGCCTCCCAAAGTGCTGGGCCACCGTGCCTGTCATTTTTGTTTTTTTTGGAGAATGCCTTAACTGTCTGGGAATGCAGCCCGGTAGGTCTCAGCCTTATTTTAGTCAGCTCCTATTCAAGATGGAGTTGCCCTGGTTACACGCCTCTGACAGTAGGTCCGTTGCCCAATGCACGCTGTGAGTCAATTTGCCGGGTCACTGTGTTGCAGAAGAGAAGGAAGTTTAATCACAGGGCTGAGGAATGAGGAGATGGGAGGAAACCTCCAATCCATCTCCCCCAGAAGTTTGGGTCTAGGGTTTTTTTTTTTTTTGAGATGGAGTTTTGCTTTGTCACCCAGGCTGGAGTGCAGTGGCAGGATCTTTGCTCACTGCAACCTCCGCCTCCCAGGTTCAAGTAATTCTCTTGCCTCAGCCTCCTGAGTAGCTGGGGTTACAGGCACCCGCTACCACGCCCGACTAATTTTTTGTGTTTTTAGTAGAAACGGGGTTTCACTATGTTGGCCAGGCTGGTCTTGAACTCTTGACCTCAGGTGATTCACCTGCCTTGGCCTCCCAAAGTGCTGGAGTTACAGGTGTGAGCCTCTGCACCCGGCCGGGGCTAGGGTTTTTAAGTGTTTTGGTGTGGGCCAGAGTGTGGCCATGCTGACTGCTGGCGGAGACAGGGGCATGAAGACGCAGTGTTCTCATGCTGATCCCATTCCTCACTGGGGTCTTCAAACTGGTTAGTGTCAGCTATTTGGCTGGAATTCAAGGTCTGAAAAACATCTGAAACCATCCTTAAACAAAAGCCTTATAATTCTAATGTCCCAGAGTTTATCTGTAGGAACCGTGCAGATACAAATTTGTCTAATGGGGCCGGGCGCGGTGGCTCACGCCTGTAATCCCAGCACTTTGGGAGGCCTAGGCGGGAGGATCACGAGGTCAGGAGATCGAGACCATCCTGGCTAACATGGTGAAACCGCGTCTCTACTAAAAATACAAAAAAAATTAGCCAGGCATGGTTGCAGGCACCTGTAGTCCCAGCTATTCGGGAGGCTGAGGCAGGAGAATTGTGTGAACCCGGGAGGCGGAGCTTGCAGTGAGCAGAGATTGCGCCACTGCCCTCCAGCCTGGGCGACAGAGCGAGACTCCGTCTCAAAAAAAAAAAAAAATTCGTCTAATGACCCTGCTGTCAGAAATCCTATCTACAGCAATGATGAGGAGGCAAAAGTGCAGTGTCTAGAGCCACGTGATACACAGCAGCCAGGATGTGGGCCAGAGTGCAGCCTGATTCACATTTTTTCATTTTTATTTTTTTTACTAAAAGTGGGTTTTCATTTTTTGTTTTGTTTTTGTTTTTGTTTTTTGTTTTTTGAGATGGAGTCTCACTCTGTTGCACCCAGGCTGGAGTGCAGTCGTGCGACCTCGGCTCACTGCAACCTCTGCCTCTGCCTCCCGGGTTCAAACAATTCTGCCTCAGCCTCTCGAGTAGCTGGGATTACAGGCGTTGAACTACCATGCCCCGCTAATTTTTGTATTTTTGTAGAGACGCAGTTTCACCATGCTGGCTGGGCTGGTCTCAAACTCCTGACCTTAAGTGATCCATCTGCCTCAGCCTCCCAAAGTGCTGGGATTACAGGCCTGAGCCACTGTGCCTGGTCTACAAAGGATATTTTTGTGGGGAAAAGAAAGAGAGATCAGATTGTAACTGTGTCTGTGTAGAAAGAAGTAGACACAGGAGACTTCATTTTGTTCTGTACTAAGACAAATTCTTCTGCCTTGAGATGCTGTTAATCTATGACCTTACCCCCAACCCTGTGCTCTCTGAAACATGTGCTGTGTCCACTCAGGGTTAAATGGATTAAGGGCTGTGCAAGATGTGCTTTGTTAAACAAATGCTTGAAGGCAGCATGCTCCTTAAGAGTCATCACCACTCCCTAATCTCAAGTACCCAGGGACACAAACACTGCGGAAGGCCGCAGGGACCTCTGCCTAGGAAAGCCAGGTATTGTCCAGGGTTTCTCCCCATGTGATAGCCTGAAATATGGTCTCATGGGAAGGGAAAGACCTGACCGTCCCTCAGCCCGACACCAGTAAAGGGTCTGTGCTGAGGCGGATTAGTAAAAGAGGAAGGAACACCTCTTTGCAGTTGAGACAAGAGGAAGGCATCTGTCTCCTGCTCGTCCCTGGGCAATGGAATGTATGGGTGTAAACCCCGATTGTATATTCCATATACTGAGATAGGGGAAAACCGCCTTAGGGCTGGAGGTGGGACATGCGGGCAGCAATACTGCTCCGTAAGGCATTGAGATGTTTATGTGTATGCATATCTAAAGCACAGCACTTAGTTCTTTACCTTGTCTATGATGCAGAGACCTTTGTTAACGTGTTTATCTGCTGACCTTCCCTCCACTATTATCCTATGACCCTGCCACATCCCCCTCTCTGAGAAACACCCCAAAATGATCAATAAATACTAAGGGAACTCAGAAGCTGGCGGGATCCTCCATATGCTGAATGCTGGTCCCCTGGGTCCCCTTATTTCTTTCTCTATACTTTGTCTGTGTCTCTTTCTTTTCCAAGTCTCTCCTTCCACCTAACGAGAAATGCCCACAGGTGTGGAGGGGCAACCCGCCCTTTCATATTTTAAAGGATACAAATGAACAGCCAAGGAAGAGATGCGTAGGGGGAGGTTTAGAGGAGTCCGAAGTGCAGGAGCTTCTGTCCCTGTGGACCTGGGGTGCACCACAGTCCTGGCACACGAATGCACCCGGGTTCACCAACCAGGAAGCTCTTCTGAACTCTTTCCTGGTTTTTTTTTTTTTTGAGACAGTCTAACTCCGTCACCCAGGCTGGAGTGCAGTGGCGCTATCTCAGCTCACTGCAGCCTCTGTCTCCTGCGTTCAAGTGATTCTCATGCCTCAGCCTCCTGAGTAGCTGGGTCTACAGGTGCACTCCACCACGCCTGGCTAATTTTTTATTTTTTGTAGAGCCAGGGTCTTGCTATTTTGTCCAGACTGGCCTAGAATTCTTGGGCTCAAGCAATCCTCCCATCTAGGCCTCCCAAAGCGTTGGGATTACGGGCATGAGCCACAGGACACCCGGCCCAAACCCTTTTCTTTTGGGGTTTATGGAGGATTCCTTAGGTGGGCAATGCTGATCACATAGCTGGCAGTTCATAATCAATTCAACCTTCAGCCCCTCTCCCCTCCCTGGAGGCCACTTGGAGCCTGGGGCTGAAAGTTCCCAATGTCTAATCACTGACGGTTTCTTTGGCAGCCAGTCCCTCGCACTTGTGGGGTTATCTAGGGGCTTTCCAAAAGTCACCTCATTTACATAAACTCAGGTGTGGTTGCAGGGCCTGGGTATGTATAACAAGAGATACCTCTTTCATGTTTATCTCTCCATAGCTGCTCTAGGACTAAAGGCCAAATGTTTTAACAAAATATACTCTCTCTCTCTTTTTGTCAGCTAGAATATAATTTATTTTTATTGTTTTTATTTTCTTTTTCTTCAGAGAGGGAGTCTCGCCATATTGCCCAGGCTGGTCTTGAACTCCTGGACTCAGGCAGTCCTCCCGCCTCAGCCTCCCAAAGTGCTGGGATTACATTCATGAACCACTGCGCCTGGCCATCTTTTTTTTTTTTTTTTAAAGATGGAGTCTCTGTCGCCCAGGCTGGAGCGCAGTGGTGCAATCTCGGCTCACGGCAACCTCCAACTCCCAGGTTCAATCAATTCTTACGCCTCAGCCTCCTGAGTAGCTGGGATTACAGGTGCACACCACCATGCCTGGCTAATTCTTTATTTTTAGTAGCCAGGGGTTTTTTGCCATGTTGCCCAGGTTGGTCTCGAACTGCTGACCTCAGATGATCCACCTGCCTCAGCCTTCCAAAGTGCAGGGATTACAGGTGTGAGCCACCATGCCAGGCCTCCATAGTGCCTATTTCTATAGATGGCATGCTGCAACTGATATATACATCTTCATTTGTGGGACCATTTGCTTCCATTAAATTAACAGTTTAAACTACCAAAATTCTGTGCTGAATGCTTTCCACAACATACACTGTTTTATTTAAAAACAATTTTAGGCCAGGTGCGGTGGCTCATGCCTGTAATCACCTGACATCAGGAGTTTGAGACCAGCCTGACCAATATGGTGAAACCCTGTCTCTACTAAAAATACAAAAAATTAGTTGGGCATGGTGGCATGTGCCTGCAGTCCCAGCTACTTGGGAAGCTGAGGCATCAGAATTGCTTGAACCTGGAAGGCAGAGGTTGCAAGAATGGAGATTGCACCACTGCACTCCAGCCTGGGCCACAGAGCAAGACTCCATCCAAAAAAAAAAATTAAATATCAGTTATCTATTTATTTTTTTGAGACTGGGTCTCACTCTGTGGCCTAGGCTGGAGTGAGATGGCCAGTCACAGCTCACTGCAGCCTCAAACTCCTGAGCTCAGGTGATCCTCCCACCTCAGCCTCCTGAATAGCTGGGATTACAGGTGCAGCCCATCATGTATGGCTAATTTTTTTGTTTTTGTTTTTGAGACAGTCTTGCTCTTGTCACCCAGGCTGGAGTGCAATGGCGTGATCGTGCCTCACTCACCCTCCACCTCCCTAGTTCAAGTGATTGTCCTGTCTCAGCCTCCCGAGTAGCTGGGATTACAGGCACCTGCCACCACACCTGGCTAATTTTTTGTATGTTTAGTAGAGACAGAGTTTCACCACGTTGGCCAGTCTGGTCTCCAACTCCTGACCTCAGGTGATCCACCCGCCTCGGCTTCCCAAATTGCTGGGACTACAGGCATGAGCTACCACGCCCAGCCTATGCATGGCTAATTATTAAATATTTTTGAAGAGATGGCATCTTGCTATGTTGCCTAGGCTGGTATCAAACTCCTGGCCCCTAGGGATCCACTGGCCTAGGCCTCTCAGCCTGCTGGGATTTATAGGCAGGAGGCACCACAGTTGGCCACAAAGTAGACTTATTGTATTTGTAACTTAGGAAGTCACGGGAGTTTTTGTCCTCTTTTTTTTTAATTTTTATTTATTTTTGTTTAATTTTTTTTCTCTACAAGAGTTTTTAAAGCTGGGAGCCAGGTACCCTGCAAAACCCAAAATGTGTATTTCCTGTTCTGTCGCCTATCACACCTGGCCCGGGTGGTCTAGGAAGGGAATTGCACATTAATCTCACCTGGGGAGATTCAGCAAGCCGTAATTCTCCAAAGCCCACTGAAGCCCAATTACAGCCAAATCCCTGAGGATGGGGCCCAGGTGATGTCAAGGTGAGCCTGAGGTCAGTGGTTGGGAGCCACCCAATGTTAATCTCAGTGGGGCGGTTCCACCCTGGGCGGGAAAGCTGTCTCTCCACCTAGCGTACCAAGGGCCAGAGACCTCCCCTTTTTATCCGTTTCCTTTGCAGGAAACACAGGCTGGAAGCAAGACCTGACCTGAGGGAGGTGAGTGCTGGTTCTTGCATCGATTTCTTTGTCTTCTCGTTTAAGGGAGAAGAAGCTATTGGTTGAGTTTCCACCATAGCCCTTCCCAAGCCTTAATGGTTGGTGCGAGGATGCTGGAAGGATCTTTGATTTTTTTTTTTTTGAGACGGAGTCTCCCTCTGTCGCCCAGGCTGGAGTGCAGTGGCGTGATCTTGGTTCGCTGCAAACTCCGCCTCCTGGGTTCACCCGCCATTCTCCTGCCTCAGCCTCCTGAGTAGCTGGGACTACAGGCACGTGCCACCATGCCCAGCTAATTTTTGTATTTTTAGTAGAGACGGGGTCTCACCATGTTGGCCAGGCTGGTCTTGAACTCCTGACTTTAGGTAATCTGTCTGCCTCGGCCTCCCAAAGTGCTGGGATTCCAGGTGTGAGCCACCACGCCTGGCCTAATGTCTTAAGGACTTCTATTCAAATATAGTTTAGAGGAGTTCAGGAGATTGAGACTAGCCTGGGCAACATGGTAAAACTCTGTCATTACAAAAAAATATAAGGCCAGGCACAGTGGTTCATGCCTGTTATCCCAACACTTTGGGAGGCCGAGGCGGGTGGATCACTTGAGGCCAGAAGTTTGAGACCAGCCTGCCCAAAATGGTGAAACCCTGTCTCTACTAAAAACACAAAAATTAGCCAGGTGTGGTGGTGCATGCCTGTAATCCCAGTTACTTGGAAGGTTGAGGCAGGAGAATAGCTTAAACCTAGGAGGGGGAGGTTGCAATGAGCTGAGATCGCGCCACTGCACTCCAGCCTGGGAGACAGAGTGCGACTCCGTCTCAAAAAACAAAGAAGGCCAGACCTTGTGCTGTGTCCAAGCTACTTGTGGGGTGAGGTGGGAGGATCACCTGAGCCAGGAGGTGGGGGCTGCAATGAGGTGTGATTGAGCCACTGCACTCCAGCCTGGATGAGATGAAGACCCTGTTTAAAAAAAAAAAAAAGTAGGCTGGGCGCGGTGGCTCACGCCTGTAATCCCAGCACTTTCAGATCACCTGAGGCCGGGAGTTTGAGACCAGCCTGACCAACATGGAGAAACCCCATCTCTACTAAAAATACAAAATTAGCTGGGCGTGGTGGCACATGCCTGTAATCCCAGCTACTCGGGAGGCTGAGGCAGGAGAATCACTTGAACCCGGGAGGCGGAGGTTGCGGTGAGCTGAGATTGCGCCACTGCACTCCAGCCTGGGCAACCAGAGTGAAATGCTGCATCAAAAAAAAAAAAAAATGTAAATGGCCAGATGCGGTGGCTCACGCCTGTGATCCCAGCACTTTGGGAGGCCGAGGCGGGTGGATCAGCTGAGGTCAGGAGTTCGAGGCCAGCCTGGCCAACATAGAGAAACCCTGTCTCGGCCGGGCGCGGTGGCTCACGCCTGTAATCCCAGCACTATGGGAGGCCGAGGCGGGCGGATCACGAGGTCAGAAGATCGAGACCATCCTGGCTAACACGGTGAAACCCCATCTCTACTAAAAATACAAAAAAAATTAGCTGGGCATAGTGGCGGGCGCCTGTAGTCCCAGCTACTTGGGAGGCTGAGGCAGGAGAATGGCGTGAACCTGGGAGGCGGAGCTTGCAGTGAGCCCAGATCGCGCCACTGCACTCCAGCCTGGGTGACAGAGCAAGACTCCATCTCAGAAAAAAACAAGAAACCCTGTCTCTACTAAAAATACAAAAACTAGCCCGGCGTGATGCGGTGCGCCTGTAATCCCAGCTTCTTGAGAGGCTGAGGCACTAGAATCACTTGAACCTGGGAGGTGGAGGTTGCAGTGAGTCGAGATTGTGCCACTGCACTCCAGCCTGGGCAACAGAGGGAGACTCCATCTCAAAAAAAAGAAAAAAAGAAAAAAATGTACTTGGGAAAAAAAATACTTGGCCAGGCCTGGTGGCTCATACCTGTAATCCCAGCACTTTGGGAGGCTGAGGTGGGCAGATCACCTGAGGTCAGGAGTTCAAGACCAGCCTGGCCAACATGGTGAAACCCCGTTTGTACTAAAAATACAAAAAAAATTAGGTGTGGTGGGGCATACCTGTAATCCCAGCTACTTGGGAGGCCGAGGCAGGAGAATCGCTTGAACCCGGGAAGAGGAGGTTGTGGTAAGCCTCGCACCATTGCACTCCAGCCTGGGCGACAGAGCAAGACTTTCTGAAAAAGAAAAAAAAAACCCTGAATTTTTCTTTTCTTTTCTTTTTTTTTTTTTTTTTGAGAGGGAGTCTCACTCGCCCAGGCTGGAGTGCAGTGGCGCGATCTTGGCTCACTGCAAGCTCCGCCTCCCAGGTTCAAGCCATTCTCCTGCCTCAGCCTCCCAAGTAGCTGGGACTACAGGCGCCCGCCACCATGCCCGGCTAATTTTTTTTTTGTATTTTTAGTAGAGACGGGGTTTCACCGTGTTAGCCAGGATGGTCTTGAGCTCCTCACCTTGTGATCTGCCCGCCTCGGCCTCCCATAGTGCTGGGATTACAGGCGTGAGCCACCGTGCCTGGCCAAAAAACCCTGAATTTTTCTAAGTACATCAAGCGTTGTCACTGCAAAAACGAAAGGCAACTATATGAAGCAGTGGATATGTTAATTAGCTGGATTGTGGTAATCATTTCACTGTATATATAACATCGCTCCATGCTGTACACTTTGACAAGTAAACGTTGTATATATTACTTTAAAAATACTTAAAAAATAGAGACAAGGTCTCCTTGTGTCGCCCAGGCTGGTCTGGAACTCCTGGGCTCTCATGCTCTTCCTGCTCCATCCTAAAATAGGATATATGTAATTATACCTCACTGAAGGGGTGGCCTGCCCCTCCACACCTGTGGGTGTTTCTTGTCAGGTGGGACGAGAGACTGAGAAAAGAAAGAGACACAGAGACAAAGTACACAGAAAGAAAAGTGGGCTCAGGAGACCCGCGCCGGCCGGGTCTCTGAGTTCCTTCAGTATTTATTGGTCATTATCTCTACCATCTCGGAGACGGGGATGTGGCAGGACAATAGGGTAACAGTGGGGAGAGGGTCAGCAGGAAAACATGTGAGCAAATGTCTGTGTCATAAACAAGGTTAGGAAATGTGCTGTGCCTTGATGTGCTCATACATAAACATATCTGGTGCATTAAAGAGCAGTATTGCTGCCAGCATGTGTCACCTCCAGCCCTAAGGCGGTTTTCCCCTATCTCGGTGGATGGAACATACCATCGGGTTTTACACCGAGACATTCCATTGCCCAGGGACGAGCAGGAGACAGATACCTTCCTCTTAACTGCAAAAAGGCCTTCCTCTTATACTAATCCTCTTCAGCACAGACCCTTTACGGGTGTCGGGCTGGGGTACGGTCTGGTCTTTCCCTTCCCACGAGGCCTTATCTCAGGCTATCACATGGGGAGAAACTTTGGACAATACCTGGCTTTTCTAGGCAGAGGTCCCTGCAGCCTTCCGCAGTGTATTGTGTCCCTGGGTGCTTGAGATTAGAGAGTGGTGATGACTTTTAACAAGCATGCTGCCTTCAAGCATCTGTTTAACAAAGCACATCCTGCATAGCCCTAAACCCACGTGTGACACAGCACATGTTTCTGGGAGCACAGGGTTGGGGCTAGGGTTACAGGTTAACAGCATCTCAAGGCAGAAGAATTTTTCTTAGTACAGAACAAAATGGAGTCTCTTATGTCTATTTCTTTCTACATAGACACAGTAACAGTCTGATCTGTCCTCCTTTTCCCCACACGTCACAGCTGGGGAAAAAGATTTGCTGTTCCCTCCAAGGGTAAAGCTGTCCACCTCTATCAGCACCCGGGCTTGGCAAGTCACTTTTTCTGTTATTTATTTTCCAGGCTGCCTCTTCCCCCCGCCCCCCCAACCCAGACGGAGTCTCGCTCTGTCGCCCAGGCTGGAGTGCGGTGGCGCGATCTCCGCTCACTGCAAGCTCCGCCTCCCGGGTTCCCGCCATTCTCCTGCCTCAGCCTCCCGAGTAGCTGGGACTACAGGCGCCCGCCACCACGCCCGGCTAATTGTTTGTATTTTTAGTAGAGACGGGGTTTCACCGTGTTAGCCAGGATGGTCTCGATCTCCTGACCTCGTGATCCGCCTGCCTCGGCCTCCCAAAGTGCTGGGATTACAGGCGTGAGCCACCGCACCCGGCCATTAGTTACTTACTTTTGAGACAGGGCCTCACTCTGTCACCCAGGCTGGCGTGCAGTGGCTGGCTCACTGCAACCTCCAAATCGTAGGCTCAAACAATCCTCCTGTGTCAGCCTCCCAAGTATCTGGGACTACGGGTATGTTCCACCAGGCCTGGCTAAGTTTTTTTTTTTTGAGATAGAGTTTCGCTCTTGTTGCCCAGGCTGGAGTACAATGGCGCTATCTCAGCTCACTGCAACCTCCGCCTCCTGGGTTCAAGCGATTCTCCTGCCTCAGCCTCCCACGTACCTGGGATTACAGGTTCCTACCACTACACTTGGCTAGCTTTTGTATTTTTAGTAGAGATGGGGTTTCACCATGTGGGCCAGGCGGGTCTCAAACTCCTGACATCAGGCGATCCACCTGCCTCAGCCTCCCAAAGTGCTGGGATTCCAGGCCTGAGCCACCATACCCGGCCAGTACAGTTATATTTATATCTGTCCTCTTGCTATTTGTTTTCAATGTGTCATTCAGTGGTGGGCTGAAATGTTAAACAAGTGGCTCTGAGGGTTGGTGGCGAGGAAGTCTTGGTTTGTAGTGTTTGCTGATTTGTTTTTTTGTTTGTTTGAGACAGAGTCTTGTTCTTGTTGCCGAGGCTCGAGTGCAATGGCGTGATCTCAGATCATGCAACCTCCACCTCCCAGGTTCAAGTGTGATTCTCCTGTCTCGGCCTCCTGAGTAGCTGGGATTACAGGCACCCGCCTGTAATTTCTGTATTTTTAGTAGAGATGGGGTTTCGCCGTGTTGGTCAGGCTGGTCTTGAGCTCCCGACCTCAGGTTATCCACCCGCCTTGGCCTCCCAAAGTGCTGGGATTACAGGCGTGAGCCACCGCGCCCTGCCGTGTTTGCTGATTTCTGTGGCATAAACACTCCCCTTGTGATTTTGTACTATCAGTGTGAAATCACAGCCCATGGACGTTGGTATAGGTACATATAGGAAGCCCCCATTAGGCAGCACGGGCTGGCCCTAGCATACCACTGACCCTTCATTCTTTGTATTCTTTTTTTTTTTTTTTTTTTTTTTTTTGAGACGGAGTCTCGCTCTGTCGCCCAGGCTGGAGTGCAATGGTGAGATCTCTGCTCACTGCAAGCTCCACTTCCCGGGTTCACACCATTCTCCTGCCTCAGCCTCCCGAGTAGCTGGGACTACAGGTGCCCGCCACCACGCCCTGCTAATTTTTTGTATTTTTTTAGTAGAGGCAGGGGTTTCACTGTGTTAGCCAGGATGGTCTCGATCTCCTGATATCGTGATCCATCCGCCTCGGCCTCCCAAAGTGCTGGGATTACAGGCGTGAGCCACCGTGCCCAGCCTTTTGTTCGTTCTTTTTACCAAGTTAGCCAGGCTGGTCTCGAACTCCTGGCCGCAGGCGTGAGCCACCGTGCTGGGCCAGATTTTCAGTCTCTTAATTCAGTCTTTGGAATATTTTACCACTCACTGTACAGCAGGAACAGTCTTGTTCTTGGCACACAGGAAACTGTGGTTTCATTTAATGATGGTAACTCGTGAACTGTTTTTCCTTTTTTCCCCCCAGTTCTTCAGCCTTAACCTAAGGTCTCATACTCGGAGCACTATGACATCGCCCCAGCTAGAGTGGACTCTGCAGACCCTTCTGGAGCAGCTGAACGAGGATGAATTAAAGAGTTTCAAATCCCTTTTATGGGCTTTTCCCCTCGAAGACGTGCTACAGAAGACCCCATGGTCTGAGGTGGAAGAGGCTGATGGCAAGAAACTGGCAGAAATTCTGGTCAACACCTCCTCAGAAAATTGGATAAGGAATGCGACTGTGAACATCTTGGAAGAGATGAATCTCACGGAATTGTGTAAGATGGCAAAGGCTGAGATGATGGGTAAGTAGAACCTGGGGTGTCCTGGTCATTTTTTTTTTTTTTTTTTTTTTTTTGAGATGGAGTCTCGTTCTGTCGCCCAGGCTGGAGTGTAAGGCTGGAGTGCAGTGGCGAGATCTGGGCTCACTGCAACCTCCGCCTCTGGGTTCAAGTGATTCTCCTATCTCAGCCTCCGGAGTAGCTGGGATTACAGGCGTGTTTCACCACACCTGGCTAATTTTTTTTTTTTTGTATTTTTAGTAGAGATGGGGTTTTGCCATGTTGGCCAGGCTGGTCTTGATCTCCTGACCTTGTGATCCGCCCACCTCAGCCTTCCAAAGTGCTGTGATTACAGGCATGAGCCACCATGCCTGGCTGACACTTTATGTACAATAATGTCTGATTTACGAAGTGTAAATTACTGTGTCAGGCTTACATCTAAGTATTTTACAGAGGACGGACAGGTGCAAGAAATAGATAATCCTGAGCTGGGAGATGCAGAAGAAGACTCGGAGTTAGCAAAGCCAGGTGGGTAAATACGGTCCTATGGTCATGAGTTTGGTGTTTGAGAGCATGCAAGGTGCATCACTTCTTCCTGGTTTTATTCATTTCTGGTAGTTTTTTTTTTTTTTGAGACGGAATCTTGCTCTGTAGCCCAGGCTGGAGTGTAGTGGCTCCGTCTCTGCTCATTGCAACCTCTGCCTCCCGGGTTCAAGCAATTCTCTGCCTCAGCCTCCTGAGTAGCCGGGATTACAGGCGGCCGCCACTACCCCCAGCTAATGTTTTGTATTTTTAGTAGAGATGGGGTTTCACTATCTTGGCCAGGCTGGTCTTGAACTCCTGACCTCAAGTGATCCACCCACCTTGGCCTCCCAAAGTGCCGGGATTACAAGCATGAGACACCGTGCCTGGCCCTCATTTCTGGTACTTGACAAAATAATTCAGAAAATCATCATCATCAACCTCAACTGTCCTATGGGCTGTCACTGCAGGTGAAAAGGAAGGATGGAGAAATTCAATGGAGAAACAGTCTTTGGTCTGGAAGAACACCTTTTGGCAAGGAGACATTGACAATTTCCATGACGACGTCACTCTGAGAAACCAACGGTTCATTCCATTCTTGAATCCCAGAACACCCAGGAAGCTAACACCTTACACGGTGGTGCTGCACGGCCCCGCAGGCGTGGGGAAAACCACGCTGGCCAAAAAGTGTATGCTGGACTGGACAGACTGCAACCTCAGCCCGACGCTCAGATACGCGTTCTACCTCAGCTGCAAGGAGCTCAGCCGCATGGGCCCCTGCAGTTTTGCAGAGCTGATCTCCAAAGACTGGCCTGAATTGCAGGATGACATTCCAAGCATCCTAGCCCAAGCACAGAGAATCCTGTTCGTGGTCGATGGCCTTGATGAGCTGAAAGTCCCACCTGGGGCGCTGATCCAGGACATCTGCGGGGACTGGGAGAAGAAGAAGCCGGTGCCCGTCCTCCTGGGGAGTTTGCTGAAGAGGAAGATGTTACCCAGGGCAGCCTTGCTGGTCACCACGCGGCCCAGGGCACTGAGGGACCTCCAGCTCCTGGCGCAGCAGCCGATCTACGTAAGGGTGGAGGGCTTCCTGGAGGAGGACAGGAGGGCCTATTTCCTGAGACACTTTGGAGACGAGGACCAAGCCATGCGTGCCTTTGAGCTAATGAGGAGCAACGCGGCCCTGTTCCAGCTGGGCTCGGCCCCCGCGGTGTGCTGGATTGTGTGCACGACTCTGAAGCTGCAGATGGAGAAGGGGGAGGACCCGGTCCCCACCTGCCTCACCCGCACGGGGCTGTTCCTGCGTTTCCTCTGCAGCCGGTTCCCGCAGGGCGCACAGCTGCGGGGCGCGCTGCGGACGCTGAGCCTCCTGGCCGCGCAGGGCCTGTGGGCGCAGATGTCCGTGTTCCACCGAGAGGACCTGGAAAGGCTCGGGGTGCAGGAGTCCGACCTCCGTCTGTTCCTGGACGGAGACATCCTCCGCCAGGACAGAGTCTCCAAAGGCTGCTACTCCTTCATCCACCTCAGCTTCCAGCAGTTTCTCACTGCCCTGTTCTACGCCCTGGAGAAGGAGGAGGGGGAGGACAGGGACGGCCACGCCTGGGACATCGGGGACGTACAGAAGCTGCTTTCCGGAGAAGAAAGACTCAAGAACCCCGACCTGATTCAAGTAGGACACTTCTTATTCGGCCTCGCTAACGAGAAGAGAGCCAAGGAGTTGGAGGCCACTTTTGGCTGCCGGATGTCACCGGACATCAAACAGGAATTGCTGCAATGCAAAGCACATCTTCATGCAAATAAGCCCTTATCCGTGACCGACCTGAAGGAGGTCTTGGGCTGCCTGTATGAGTCTCAGGAGGAGGAGCTGGCGAAGGTGGTGGTGGCCCCGTTCAAGGAAATTTCTATTCACCTGACAAATACTTCTGAAGTGATGCATTGTTCCTTCAGCCTGAAGCATTGTCAAGACTTGCAGAAACTCTCACTGCAGGTAGCAAAGGGGGTGTTCCTGGAGAATTACATGGATTTTGAACTGGACATTGAATTTGAAAGGTAAGAACTGTTTTCCCATCCCACGCTCCACTAGGAAGAGGCCAGCGTCTCCTTTGCCCTGTCGCTTACTGTCAGAATTTCCCTCTGGCTGGACTTCTTTCCAGCTTCATGTTCAACGTGGAGACACGACTTGGCAATTAGGAATTGGGGCTTTTTATTTTTGAGACGGAGTCTCGCTCTGTCCCCCAGGCTGGAGTGCAGTGGCGCGATCTTGGCTCACTGCAACCTCCGCCTCCCGGGTTCAAGTGATTCTCCTGCCTCAGCCTCCCGAGTAGCTGGGACTATGGGCGTGCACCACCTTGCCCGGTTAATTATTTTATTTTTTTGTAGAGATGGGGGTCTCAGTTTCTAGCCCAAGTTGGTCTTAAACTCCTGGGCTCAAGTGATCTTCCCACTTTGGCCTAGCAAAGTGTTGGGATTACAGGCATGAGCCACCTCACTCAGCCTTATCTATTATTTTATTTTTTTTGTAAAACTTAAGATCTATACTGGTAGCAAAGCATGTGATGCAATATTGTTTACTATAGACACTGTTTTAGGTTGGTGCAAAAGTAATTGTGGTTTTTGCCATTGAAATGTGGTTTGCAGATGCCCATCTCACCATGCAGGTACTAGTCCTAAGAGATGAACGTGTGTTCTCCTGCAGGTGCACTTACCTAACCATTCCGAACTGGGCTCGGCAGGATCTTCGCTCTCTTCGCCTCTGGACAGATTTCTGCTCTCTCTTCAGCTCAAACAGCAACCTCAAGTTTCTGGAAGTGAAACAAAGCTTCCTGAGTGACTCTTCTGTGCGGATTCTTTGTGACCACGTAACCCGTAGCACCTGTCATCTGCAGAAAGTGGAGTAAGTAGAAGCTCATCTTGCAAGGAAGACCCTGAACGATGACTAAGCTTCTTGTACTTTTGTTTTTTAAATTTGGAAATGTGCTGTTTCATCTCCATGTATTTGGGGATTTTCCAGCTGTCTTTTTTTTTTTTTTTTTTTTTGGTGAGACGGAGATTTACTCTTGTTGCCCAGGCTGGAGTGCAATGGCGCGATCTCAGCTCACTGCATCCTCCACCTCCCAGGTTCAAGCAATTCTCCTGCCTCAGCCTCCCGAGTAGCTGGGATTACAGGCATGTGCCACCTTGCCCGGCTAATTTTGTACTTTTAGCACAGACAGGTTTTCACCGTGTTGCCCAGGCTGATCTCGAGCTCCTGACCTCAGGTGATTTGCCTGCCTCGGCCTTCCAAAGTGCTGGGATTATAGGCATGAGCCGCTGCACCTGGCCCCTTTTTTATTTTTTATTTTTTCTGAGACAGAGTTTCACTCTGTCACCTAGGCGCTGGAGTGCAATGACTTAATCTTGTGTTTTTAGTAGAGGTGGAATTTTCTCCATCTTGGCCAGGCTTGTCTCGAACTCCTGACCTAAGGTGATGCGCCTGCCTCGGTCTTCGAAAGTGCTGGGATTACAGGCATGAGCCACCATGCCTGGCCCCAGCTATCTTTTTTTTGGTTTGTTTTGTTACCAAAACAAACCAAAAAGTAGGTACAAGTACAGGTTAGTTACACAGGTAACCGTGTGTCATAGGAGTTTGTTGTACAGATTATTTTGTCACCCAAGTATTAAGCCTAGTACCCCTTAGTTGTTTTTCCTGATCCTCTGCTTCTTGACTTTTTTTTTTTTTTTTGAGACAGTCTCGCTATGTTCCCCAGGCTGGAGTGCAGTGCAGCAATCTCGGCTCACTGCAAGCCCTGCCTCCCGGGTTCATGCCATTCTCCTGCCTCAGCCTCCCGAGTAGCTGGGACTACAGGCGCCCGCCACCACGCCCGGCTAGTTTTTTGTAATTTTAGTAAAGACGGGGTTTCACCGTGTTAGCCAGGATGGTCTTGATCTCCTGACCTCGTGATCCACCCGCCTCGGCCTCGGCCTCCCAAAGTGCTGGGATTACAGGCGTGAGCCACCACACCCGGCGAATTTTTTTTTCTTTTGAGATGGAGTCTTGCTCTGTTGCCCAGGCTGGAGTGCAGTGGTGCGGTCTCGGCTCACTGCAACCTCTGCCTCCTGGATTCAAGTGATTCTCCTACCTCAGCCTCCCGAATACCTGGGACTACAAGCATGCCCCTCCATGTGCAGCTAATTTTTGTATTTTTAGTAGAGACGGGGCTTCCCCATGTTGGCCAGGCTGGTCTCGAACTCCTGACCTCAGGCGATCTGCCTGCCTCGGCCCCAGCTAATTTATTTTTTGTAGAGATGGAGTTTCACCATGTTGCCCAGGTTGGTCTCAGACTCCTGACCTCAGGTTATCCTCCTGCCTCAGCCTCCCAAAGTGCTGGGGTTACAGACACGAGCCACTGCACCCGGCCAAGAACTTCTAATAATTTCTAAATGTGAAACAGCTTTTTGTTTATACATGCCTCCACACAATGTGAGTATTAATCACTCCAAGTGGAATCTCTTCTGCTTTTCCCTAGGATTAAAAACGTCACCCCTGACACCGCGTACCGGGACTTCTGTCTTGCTTTCATTGGGAAGAAGACCCTCACGCACCTGACCCTGGCAGGGCACATCGAGTGGGAACGCACGATGATGCTGATGCTGTGTGACCTGCTCAGAAATCATAAATGCAACCTGCAGTACCTGAGGTGGGTCTCACGGTCACGGCTCTCCCCAGCACCTGGAGTCCACTGCACCGTGTTGCTGGGGGATCTAGGAAAAAGGGTAACCACTCCAGATGCCGTCCCAGACAGGGAATGTATTCCTCAAACAGGCCTGTGTGGGGGAGTCGGCCTCTCCTCTTTCCCCCACCAGCTTGTCTTCTGTGTTGCATAACCAGCTATCCATGCAAAGAAACACCCCGAATTCTGTGCTGGGTTCCAGCTTTAGGGACATGCTATTCCTGACTGCACCTTGCCTAATTGTTGGGATTGAGAGCAGTGGCCCCCAGCCTTTTCTGCACCGCGGGCCGGTTTTGCACAAGACAGTTTTTTCCACAGACGGGTTTGGGGGTAGTTTTGGGATGAAACTGTTCGATCTCAGATCAGGCACAGGAGCTAATCGTTGGTGCCTGATCCTATGGAGTGCATGATCCTCGCACTTTGGGAGCCTGAGGAGAATGGATCATCAATCTCAGATCATCAGGAGTTAGGTATTCATAAGGAGCATGCAACCTTCTCTGCACTCAATGAGAATCTTTTTTTTTTTTTTTTTTCTTTGAGACAGTTTTATTCTTGTCACCCAGGCTGGAGCGCAGTGGCGCGATCTCGTTCACTGCAACCTCCGCCTCCTGGGTTCAAGCAGTTCTGCCTCAGCTTCCCGAGTAGCTGGGGTTACAGGCGTGCACCACCACGCCTGGCAAATGTTTGTATTTTTAATAGAGACAGGGTTTCACCATGTTGGCCAGGCTGGTCTCGAACTCCTGACCTCAAGTGATCCGCCTGTCTCGGCCTCCCAAAGTGCTAGGATTACAGGCATGAACCACTGCGCCTGGCCAGGATAAAATTTTTATTTTGAGTATTAAGCATCAATTTGCCCCTTCTAGTCCCAGCTACAGTGGATGCTGAGGTGGGAGGATCATTTGAGCCCAGGAGACAGGTTGTGGTGACCTGTGATCATGCCACTGCACTCCAGCCTGGGCAACAGAGCGAGATCCTGTCTCAAAAAAAAAATTTTTTTTTCCCCCCTGCAAAATCATCCACACAGGCCGTTTTGGTGAAACATTGCACAGAATTGTATTACAATCTCTTGGAGAAGTGGCTGGATGTTACCCTAATGGCCATGGGGATACTTGAAGAAGCAGAGGCAACATTAGATCTCTCCAGTAATTCAGGCCAGGGTTGGAGGCATGAGTAGAATGAGATAAACCAAAGACATAATGTCTTGGGAAGTGAAGCAGAAGAAGCTGATCTGGGCCAGGCGCGGTGGCTCACACCTGTAATCCCAGTACTTCGGTAGGCCAAGGTGGGTGGATCACCTGAGGTCAGGAGTTCAAGACCAGTGTGGCCAACATGGTGAAATCCCGTCTCTACTAAAAATACAAAAATTGGCGAATGCCTGTAATCCCAGCTACTTCGGAGGCTGAGGCAGGAGAATAGCTTGAACCCGGGAGGCGGAGGCTGCAGTGAGGTGAGATCACGCCTTTGCATTCCAGACTGGGCAACAGAGTGAAACTCTGTCTCAAAAAAAAAAAGCTGATAGGGTATACTCTGTCCTCCCAGAAGAATGACTTTTCCCACTCTTTTCACAGGTTGGGAGGTCACTGTGCCACCCCGGAGCAGTGGGCTGAATTCTTCTATGTCCTCAAAGCCAACCAGTCCCTGAAGCACCTGCGTCTCTCAGCCAATGTGCTCCTGGATGAGGGTGCCATGTTGCTGTACAAGACCATGACACGCCCAAAACACTTCCTGCAGATGTTGTCGTAAGTCTCCTCTTCCCATGGGCAGCTCTGGTTTAGTTCTGGGGCTATAGAAGAGAAAGGGTAACACCTGACTTACTGCGCCACCCACGTGGCGCCTCTTGCTGAAATAAACACCTGCTTCAGGCCCGGCACGGTGGCTCCTGCCTGTAATCTCAGCAGAGAGGTGGGCGGATCATCTGAGTTCAGGAGTTCGAGACCAACCTGGCCAACATGGTGAAACCCTGTTTCTATTAAAAATACCAAAAACAGGCCGGGTGCGGTGGCTCATGCCTGTAATCCCAGCACGTTGGGAGGCCAAGGCGGGGAGATCACGAGGTCAAGAGATCGAGACCATCCTGGCTAACATGGTGAAACCCCGTCTCTACTAAAAAATACAAAAAATTATCCAGGTGTGGTGGGCGCCTGTAGTCCCAGCTACTCAGGAGGCTGAGTCAGCAGAATGGTGTAAACCTGGGAGGCGGCGATTGGCAGTGAACCGAGATCGCGCCACTGCACTCCAGCCTGGGCGACAGAGCGAGACTCCGTCTCAAAAACAACACCTGTGTCCTGTGATGGCTCCAGGTGGACCGCTGCATCTTGGCCTTCTCGCCTTCCTGCTCTTTTGTGGCCATGATGACTCCCACAGGACAGAGGGCAGGGGATGAACAGGAAGGGCTGAAGCTGAGTACCCTAGCATGTGGACATCACTGAGCAGGTTGGAGTTGTGGAAATGTTCTCATCCTTCTACCATTTGTTTCATATTTTTGCAGGTTGGAAAACTGTCGTCTTACAGAAGCCAGTTGCAAGGACCTTGCTGCTGTCTTGGTTGTCAGCAAGAAGCTGACACACCTGTGCTTGGCCAAGAACCCCATTGGGGATACAGGGGTGAAGTTTCTGTGTGAGGGCTTGAGTTACCCTGATTGTAAACTGCAGACCTTGGTGTAAGTCCCTGCTGGGTGTGTGTGTGTGTGCACATGAATTCAAGCAGGAGAGACATGAAAGTACTTGTTAATTCATTTCAAATGTAACTTTTAAAAACCTGGTAAGAATTAAAGAACAGGCAGAGGCCAGGCGTGGTGGCTCATGCCTGTAATCCCAGCACTTTGGGAGGCCGAGGCGGGTGGATCATGAGGTCAGGAGATGGAGACCATCCTGGTTAACATGGTGAAACCCTGTCTGTACTAAAAATACCAAAAATTAGCCAGGTGTGGTGGCGGATGCCTGTAGTCCCAGCTACTTGGGAGGATGAGACAGGAGAATGGCGTGAACCTGGAAGGCGGAGGTTGCAGTGAGCCGAGATCGCACCACTGCACTCCAGCCTGGGCGACAGAACAAGACTCCTTCTCAAAAAAACAAAGAAACAAAAAAAACCAGGCAGATACAGGTAGAAACATGTTAATATTTGCATGTCAGCAGAGCCTCTTCCTGCTATGAAGGAAGATTTGAGATGAGTAGTTGGTTCTCGGATCTGATGCTTTGTGTGTGTTCTTTCAAATTCCTATGACATAGTACTGCCTGCTATTGGAGGTAGATTGAGTTATGTGGTAGGGCCAGTGGCACCTTTTTTTAAACTTTTATTTCCATAGGTTATTGGGGAACAGGTGGTGAATGGTGGGCAGATCACCTAAGGTTCGAGACCAGCCTGGCCAACATGGTGAAAACCCATCGCTACTAAAAAATACAAAAATTAACCAGGCTTGGTGGTGCGTGCCTATAGTACCAGCTACTCAGAAGGCTGAGGTAGGAGAATCGCTTGAATCTGGGAGGCAGAGGCTGCAGTGAGCTGAGATGGCGCCACTGCACTCCAGCCCGGGCGACAGAGTGAGACTCCGTCTCAAGAAAAAAACAAAAAAAAACTCAACAAAAATCCTTATTTGTAAAAGACATAGGTGGCAGGTTGGAATTGACCCACGAACTATAGTTGGCTGAATCTTGTTATATGGAAAGAAGCCCAGCGTGAGCTACCTGTTCACATTAAAATTATGGTTAGAAAAATATTCAAGAGATTGCATAGGGTTGAAGACCTGTTCCTGTTCAGAAATTCTAGCTAGTGGTCATTTCTGAGATTCATTTTTTTTTTTTTGGATGAAGTCTCACTCTGTCGCCCAGACTGGAATGCAGTGGTGTAATCTTGGCTGACTGCAACTTCTGCCTCCCAGGTTCAAGCGATTCTCCTGCCTCAGCCTCCCAAGTAGCTGGGATTACAGGTGCCCTCCACCATGCCTGGCTAATTTTTGCACTTTTAGTGGAGATGAGGTTTCACCATGTTGGCCAGGCTGGTCTTGAACTCCTGGCCTTAAGTGATCTGCCTGCCTCGGCCTCCCAAAGTGCTGGCGTTCCAGGCATGAGCCACTGTGCCTGGCTTAGAATAACTATTGTTAAACAAACAGTCACCTACCTGATCGTTATACGAAGTGTACCTGCACCAAAACATCACACTATACCCCTATATATGTAGAATGTGTCAGTTAAAGACAAAACTTAAACATGAAATAAAATGACAGGGAAAGTGAAATTTCCATAATCTAACCACGCAGAAAATAAGTGACCCAGGGCTCAGATCCTGTCCTGGGTCGGTCTGAACCCAGAGCCTAAGCTGTTGTCCCAGGCAGAGCTGGAAATGGATGGAATCAGAAGGCCATTTGGATGTTTTTTTTTTTTTTTTAACAGTCTCTCTCTGTCACCAGGCTGGAGTGCAGTGGTGCGATCTTGGCTCACTGCAACCTCCGCTTCCTGGGTTCAAGTAATTCTCCTACCTCAGCCTCCTGAGTAGCTAGGATTACAGGCATGGGCCGCCACACCTGGCTAATTTTTTTTTTTTTTTGAGATGGAGTTTCGCTCTTGCCCAGGCTGGAGTGCAATGGTGCAATCTCTGCTCACCACAACCTCCGTCTCCCCAGTTCAAGAGATTCTCCTGCCTCAGCCTCCTGAGTAGCTGGGATTACAGGCATGTGCCACCACACCTGGCTAATTTTGTATTTTTAGTAGAGACGGGTTTCTCCATATTGCTTAGGCTGGTCTTGAACTCCCGACCTCAGGTGATCTGTCTGCCTCAGCCTCCCAAAGTGCTGAGATTACAGGTGTGAGCCATCGTGCCCAGCTAATTTTTGTATTTAGTAAAGATGGGGTTTCACCACTTTGGCCAGGCTGGTCTTGAACTCCTGATCTTGTGATTCACCCACCTTGGTCTCCCAAAGTGCTGAGATTACAGGTTTGAGCCACCGCGCCCGGCCCGATTTTTGTATTTTTTAGTAGAGATGGGGTTTCACCATGTTGGCCAGGCTGGTCTTGAACTCCTGACCTCAAATGATCTGCCCGTCTTGGCCTCCCACTGCTGTGATTATAGGCGTGAGCCACTGTGCCCGGCCCATTTGCATGCTTTTATGTGCAAGCCCACCTGGAAGTATATAGCTCCAGTTCATGGGTCAATTCCTACCTGCCACCTATGTTTTATATAAATACTTTTTGTTGTTGTTGTTGTTTTCTTGAGACGGAGTCTCGCTCTGTCGCCCGGGCTGGAGTGCAGTGGCGCGATCTCAGCTCACTGCAGCCTCTGCCTCCCGGATTCAAGCGATTCTCCTGCCTCAGTCTTCTGAGTAGCTGGCACTACAGGCGTGCACCACCAAGTCTGGTTATATAGGTGGCGGGCACCTATAATCCCAGCTACTTGGGAGGCTGAGGCAGAAGAATCGCTTGAACCTGGGAGGCAGAGGTTGCAGTGAGCCAAGAGTGCAGCACTGCATTCCAGTATATAAGTGGAAGGTATATAGTGTTGGAAATAACTGCTTCACAGGGCGTTAGCCAGAGGGATAACAGGCTTCTCTTCCTTTGATTATCCTGTAGGTTACAGCAATGCAGCATAACCAAGCTTGGCTGTAGATATCTCTCAGAGGCGCTCCAAGAAGCCTGCAGCCTCACAAACCTGGACTTGAGTATCAACCAGATAGCTCGTGGATTGTGGATTCTCTGTCAGGCATTAGAGAATCCAAACTGTAACCTAAAACACCTACGGTAGGCGATTTTCTTTTTCTTCTTTCTTTCTTTTTTTGAGACAGGGTCTTGCTCTGTCCCCCAGCCTGGAGTGCAGTGGGGTGATTACGGCTCACTGCGGCTTCGGTCTTCCAGGCTTGATCGGTTCTCCCACCTCAGCCTCCTGAGTAGCTGGCTCTACAGGCATGTATTACCATGGCCAGGTAACTGTTTTCTGTAGAGATGAGGTCTTGTCATCTTTCCCGGGCTGGTTTTGAATTCTGGTGCTCAAGGAATCCTCCCACCTCGGCCTCCCAATGTGCTAGGATTACAGGCATGAGCCATCATGCCTGGCCTCATTTTTAAAGTGTTTGGAAATCTGGAAATCCTTAATTTCTATGTTTTCTTTTTTTTTTTTTTTTTTTGAGACGGAGCCTCGTTCTAGTTGCCCAGGCTGGAGTGCAGTGGCGCGATCTCGGCTTACTGCAACCTCTTCCTCCCGGGTTCTCGCTATTCTCCTGCCTCAGCCTCCTGAGTAGCTGGGACTACAGATGCCCGCCACCGTGCCTGGCTAATTTTTTTTGTATTTTTAGTAGAGATGGGTTTCACAGTGTTAGCCAGGATGGTCTCGATCTCCTGACCTCATGATCTGCCCGCCTTGGCCTTCCAAAGTGCTGGGATTACAGGCGTGAGCCACCACGCCCGGCCAATTTCTATGTTTTCAATATCTCAGACTGTATCACTTCGGATCCAGTTTTAAGATCAAACCCCTCCAGAAACTGAATATATGTGGGTGGGCACTTCTAAAGTCAGGTAGAGGGCCTGGAGAAGTGAAATATATATAACAATGGCCCCCAGTGACCTGGACTTCAGCAGCATGCTGCTTCTGCTGGGATCCAGTAATCAGGAAGCAGTGAGCCTGCCCCACCTCATAAACCCAGGGAACCATAGGTGGGATACCACCCCCAGAAAATGCAAAGTCTCCACAAATGGAATGGCGAGCTCTTCATCACTTCTCTCCCCAAAGTTTGTCAGTTGCATCTCTTGGATGCAACCTATTTTCCAACTAGAATCTGCAATCCTAATGCAAAGAGAATCTGCACGTCATTACTACTTAGCTTTGCTGTAGAGTAAAGAAAAAAAACACTAGAACACAGGGTACTTTTTTTCTTTTTTCAGACAGAGTCTCGCTTTGTCACCCAGGCTGGAGTGCAGTGGTGCGATCTTGGCTCACTGCAACCTCAGCCTCCAAGGTTCAAGCGATTCTCCTGATTGAGCTGAGTAGTTGGGATTACAGGCGTGCACCACCATACCCAGCTAATTTTTGTATTTTTAGTAGAGACCAGGTTTCACCATGTTAGCCAGACTGGTCTCAAACTCCTGACCTCAAGTGATCCACCTGCCTCAACCTCCCAAAGTGCTGGGATTACAGGCATGAGCCACCATTCCTGGCCTCCTGAAGTTTCTTAACCCATCCCCCTGAGGAATATTTCAAGCCTCAAGCCAGACCGTGATACCTTTATTTCCAAAGACTCAAAAGCTCAATGCAAACGGGTGGATTACCTGGTGTCTTGTTCCTGTAATCTCAGCTATGACTGTAATCCTAGATTCTCGGGAGGCTGGGGCAGGAGAATCGCTTGAACCCAGGAGGCGGAGGTTGCAGTGAGCCGAGATCACGCCATTGCACTCCAGCCTTGGCAACAAGAGTGAAACTCTGCCTTAAAAAAAACAAAACCAAAGGCTTCTACAGTGGCCTACAGGGCCTTATGGGGGATCCTCGTGTAAGTTATGAGCCATAAATCATTCTACTTTCTCACTAGCTCAGTATTTTATTTACAAGATTCCCTCCCCCAGTTAGCATGCTGGTTCATGATCTACCATCCTTCAGTTTCTTTCCTCATATCACTTTCCAAAAGAGGACTTAAATGACCAGCATAAGTCTAGCCAATCAATGCCTCTCTGTTTGACTTACCTCTACCCTGTTTATTTTAATACCATCATCCATTGTCTTCAATAGAACATATCGAGATGTCTGCTGTCACTAAAAACTCTGAGGACAAGGATTTCTTCTGCTCACTCCCCTCTGCCTTTCCTCACTACTGGAGCCCCAGCAAATATGCTGCTTGTTTTTTTGTTTTGTTTTGTTTGAGACCAAGTCTCACTCTTTCACCCAAGCTGGAATGCAGTGGTGATATGTTGGCTAACTACAACCTCTGCCTCCTGGTTCAGGCGATTCTCCTGCCTCTCGAGTAGCTGGAATTATAGGTGGTTCCACCATACCTGGCTAATTTTTGTATTTTCATTTTATGTTATATATTTGTGAGATGGAGTCTCATTCTATTGCCCAGGCTGGAGTGCAGTGGCGCAATCTGGGCTCACTGTAACCTCCGCCTCCCAGGCTGAAGCGATTCTTGTGCCTCAGCCTCCCAAGTAGCTAGCATTAAAGGCACACACCACCATGCATGGCTAATTTTTTGTAGAGATGGGGTTTTGCCATGTTGGCCTGGCTGGTCTCGAACTCCTGACCTCAGGTGATCTACCCTCCTCGGCCTCCCAAGGTGCTGGGGCTACAGGTGTCTGTCCCCACGCCCTGCCTAATCTTTGTATTTTTAGTAGAGATGGGGTTTGACCGTGTTGGCAAGGCTGGTCTCGAACACCTGGCCTCAAGTGATCCACCCGCCTTGGCCTCCCGAAGTGTTGGGATTACACGCTTGAGCCACTACCTGCTCAGTGAATGCGTGGATTTCCATGTTCTTCCTCAACAGCCTCTGGAGCTGCTCCCTCATGCCTTTCTATTGTCAGCATCTTGGATCTGCTCTCCTCAGCAATCAGAAGCTTGAAACTCTGGACCTGGGCCAGAATCATTTGTGGAAGAGTGGCATAATTAAGCTCTTTGGGGTTCTAAGACAAAGAACTGGATCCTTGAAGATACTCAGGTATGGGTTTTTTGTTTTGTTTTGTTTTGTTTTTTGTTTTTGTTTTTTTGAGATGGAGTCGTGCTCTGTCATTCAGGCTGGAGTGCAGTGGCGCAATCTTGGCTCACCGCAACCTCTGCCTCTCAGGTTCAAGCAATTCTCCTGCCTCAGCCTCATGAGTAGCTGGGCCTAGAGGCATGCCAACATGTCCAGCTAATTTTTTTCTTTTTCTTTTTTTTTTTTTGAGACGGAGTTTTGTTCTTGTAGCCCAGGCTGGAGTGCAGTGGTGCGATCTTGGCTCACTGCAACCCCCACCTCCTGGGTTCAAGCGATTCTCCCACCTTGGCCTCCCAAGTAGCTGGAATTACAGATGCCTGCCACCATGCCTGGCTAATTTTTTAGTAGAGAGGGGTTTCACCATGTTGGCCAGGCTAGTCTTGAACTCCTGACCTCAGGTGAGCCACCTGCCTCGGCCTCCCAAAGTGGTGGGATTACAGAGGTGAGCCATTGCACCCGGCCTTTTTGGTTTTTGCTTTTTGGGATGGAGTCTCACTGTTGCCCAGGCTGGAGTGCAGTGGCGCGATCTTGACTCACTGCAGCCTCCTTCTCACAGGTTGAAGCGATTTTCCTGCCTCAACCTCCTGAGTAGCTGGGATTACAGGTACACACCACCACAGCTGGCTAATTTTTTTTTTTTTTTTTTTTTTTTAAAGACAGAGTCTCTCTCTGTCCCCCAGGCTGGAGTGCAGTGGCGCTATCTCGGCTCAGTGCAACCTCTGCCTCCTGGGTTCAAGTGATTCTCCTGCCTCAGCCTCCTGAGTAGCTAGGATTACAGTCGCTCGCCACCACACCCAGCTAATTTTTGTATTTTTAGTAGAGATGGGGTTTTGCCATGTTGGCCAGGCTGGTCTCGAGCTCCTGACCTCAGGTGATCTTCTCGCCTTGGCCTCCCAAAGTGCTGGGATTACAGGCATGAGCCACTGCACCTGGCCAATTTTTGTAGTTTTTAGTAGAGATGGGGTTTCACCATGTTGGTCAGGTTGGTCTCAAACTCCCAACCTCAGGTGATCCACCTGCCTCAGCCTCTCAAAGTGCCGGGATTACAGGCGTGAGCCACTGTGCTCGGCCCTGGGATGGCTGTTTCACATGGTGAATTTCCCATGCAGAGAAGAGTTTTTTTGGGAGTGTGTGTACTCTTTGTAGGGATCAACTTAAGGCATCTTTCTATAGCACACTCCTAGCTTAGGAGATAATTTAAAAATTAGATACTTTTCTAAAATGCTCTGTGAATTGAATATTGTCCAACTTTCCCCCAAAACACTTAGTCCTAGGCATACTGAGAGTTTAAATCATCCTGGAGTACAGACTGGAAGCTTGTGTGTATGTGTGTGCATGAGCACACACACACACACACACACACCCCTAATCATTATATCCAAAAATAGGTAGTTCCCAGAGCTGTCCTGGGTCTTAGCTTTTCAGAAGATCGTCCTACAGATGCTCCCTTAGTTGTGACCCGTGTATATCTTTTCAATGACTTATTTGTATTTTTTATTTTTTTTTGAGACGGAGTCTTTTTTTTGAGACGGAGTCTGTCTTTTTTTTTGAATCTGTCTTTTTTTTGAGACAGAGACTCCAGTCTCTGTCGCCCAGGCTGGAGTGAAGCGGTGCGATCTCGGCTCACTGCAAGCTCCACCTCCCGGGTTCACGCCATTCTCCTGCCTCAGCCTCCCGAGCAGCTGGGACTACAGGCGCCCGCCACCACGCCCGGCTAATTTTTTGTATTTTTAGTAGAGATGGGGTTTCACTATGTTGGCCAGGCTGGTCTCGAATTCCTGACCTCAGGTGATCTGCCCACCTCGGCCTCCCAAAGTGCTGGGATTACAGGCGTGAGCCACCGCGCCCGGCCTCAGTGACTTATTTTAACGTAATCTACCTTTAGTTTCTTCTTGCCTTTGTCTTTTCTTTTCTGAGACAACGTTTTGCTCTGCTGCACTGTGTGGCCGTGTTGCCGAGGTTCTCAAACTCCTGGCTTCAAACGATCCTCCTGTCTTGGCCTCACAAAGTACCCGGATTGCAGGCGTGAGCCACTGTGCACAGCCCACTTGTCTTATTCAAGAGTTATTTTAGTTGTAGAGATGATACGCATGTAAACTGCTTCATGATGCCCAGTGTTGCATTATTGGAACGCTAAGCATGTGGGAGTTATTTATATCCTGCTCAAGGTACGATTTTTCACACGTCTGCAGTTCAAATAATTGTAACCTCTGGCATAAATGGGTTAAGGTTTTAGGGGTATATCATGAAACTTGAGCTAAATAGTGTCATGCTTCTCTTGTTGGTGGGACCGAGGTCTGTAATGCCACCAAGGACTATTGGTGACAAATCTCTAGCCCCCTGTGGTCTCTTATGTCATATGTTTGGGGCGTATTTCTTTTCTCATTCCTCAGTTCCTCCTTTGGGAGGCCAAGGTGGGAGGATTGTTTGAGGCCAGGAGTTTGAGACCAGCCTGGGCAACATAGCAAGCCAGTGTCTCCACAATCACCACCCCTCATGTTCACATACACAGGCTTGCATGCTGCAGCCACGTTAGAGCCAAGTTTGCTATCATTAACCCTGGGGTTCACTCTGGCATTCTCTTAGTTCTACTGAAGGTTTGATTTGCCACTATTTTTTATTTATTTATTTGGAGGCAGAGTCTCGCTCTGTCACCCGGGCTGCAGTACAGTGGTGCGGTATTGGCTCACTGCAACATCTGCCTCCCAGGTTCAAAGCGATTCTCCTGTCTCAGCCTCCTGAGTAGCTGGTATTACAGTTGTCTGCCACCATGCCCAGCTAATTTTTGTATTTTTAGTAGAGACGGGGTTTCACTATGTTGGCCAGGCTGGTCTCGAATTCCTGACCTCAGGTGATCTGCCCGCCTCGGCCTCCCAAAGTGCTGGAATTATAGGCGTGAGTCACCGTGCACCAGCCTGATTATCTATTTTTTAAATTTATTTTTTAAAGGCATGTTTTACTCTGTTACCAGGCTGGAGTGCAGTAGGGCAATCTCTAGCTCGTTGCAACCTCCGCCTCCTGGGCTCAAGTGATCCTCTTGCCTCCGCCTCCCGAGTAGCTGGGACTATAGGCGTGCACCACCATTCCTGGCTAACTTTTTCTATTTTTGGTAGAGACAGGGTTTCACCGTGTTGCCCAGGCTGGCCTTGAACTGCGGAGCTCAAGCAATCTGCCTGCCTTGGCCTCCCAAAGTGCTGGGACTACAGGTGCGAGACACCGTGCCTGGCCATAATCTTTTTTTTCTTAGACTTATAAGGATCCCCATTGTGTGGGTCTAAATTTCTTTTTAGAAAACTTTTCTGACTGGGTGCTGTGGCTCACATCTGTAATCCCATGGCTTTGGGAGGCCGAGGTGGATGGATCACTTGAGGCCAGAAGTTCGAGACCAGCCTGGCTAACATGTCGAAACCCCATCTCTACTGTAAATACAAAACTTAGCCAAGCGTGGTGGTGCACACCTGTAATCACAGTTACTCAGGAGCCTGAGGCATGAGAATTGCTTGAACTTGGGAGCTGGAGGTTGCAGAGAGCCAAGATGGCACCACTGTACCCCAGCCTGGGCAACAGAGCAAGACCCTGTCCCCCAGAAAATCCCAAAAACGTTTCCTGCTTTGAGTGTTTGAAAACAGATATTCAGGCATCCTGGGTAGTTGAGAATGAATTTCTGGGAACATTTGTGTTCTCTGATCCCTCCAGGTTGAAGACCTATGAAACTAATTTGGAAATCAAGAAGCTGTTGGAGGAAGTGAAAGAAAAGAATCCCAAGCTGACTATTGATTGCAATGCTTCCGGGGCAACGGCACCTCCGTGCTGTGACTTTTTTTGCTGAGCAGCCTGGGATCGCTCTACGAATTACACAGGAAGCGGGATTCGGGTCTCTAAGATGTCTTATGAATGCAGGTCAGAGGGTCACATGTTAACACTAGAGTCTGTCGAGAGGTAGGATTTGACACTGGTTTTCTCACTATTTTTGGGAGATTCTGCACGAGTCACGCACCCCCTTCACATGACGCTATGTACTTTCTCACAGGGATAATAAAGTTAGAGCACTCTCGTTGCAGCTGCGTTTATTGACATGCTCAGGAGCAAACCTGCAATAAACATGGTACTCTGTGCTTTGTCTAGGAGGAAGTATTGCTAAGAAGTTCAGGGATGATTCGGTTGATTCTTCTATTTCTTTTCTTCCCTAACTCAGGCGCCATGTGGTCTACTATCTGCCAGGTGCATCTATGTGATCAGTGTGTCTTTGTGACTTATGTGATCATAACTTATGTGATCAACCCACGCATTGACAAACGGGCCAGATAGTTCATATGCTTGGCACTGTGGGCCCCGCGGTCTCTCATCAGCTCTCAGCTGTGCCTTTGGACATGGAAGCAGCGCAGGGCCTGGCTGGCACCTGCGGAGGCTTCCCAGAAACAGCTCGTGGGCCATGGGCAGCCAGCCCTGTTCTAATCTATCCTGTTACTCACAAAGCACAAGCTTACAGTCACTGTTGCCTTTAATTCAGAAGATGGCCCTGCCTCACGCTGGTTCTGCTCGGCTCCCACGGGCCGCCTCCTACTCTCTGTGTGTGTGTGTATGTGTCTCTCTCTCTCTCTGTCTCTGTGTGTCTCTCTTTGTTTCTCTGTGTCTGTCTTTTTGTCTCTCTGTCTCTGTGTCTGTTTCTGTGTGTGTGTCTCTGTGTCTGTCTGTGTTTCTCTGTGTGTGTCTCTGTCGCTGGGCGTTTCTATCTCTGTCTTTGTATGTGTCTCTCTGTTCTTTCGTTTTTTTTTTTTGTTTTTTTTTTTGAGACGGAGTTTCACTCTTGTCGCCCATGCTGGAGTGCAATGGCGTGATCTCAGCTCACTGCAACCGCGCCTCCCAGGTTCAAGTGATTCTCCTGCCTCAGCCTTCCGAGTAGCCGGAATTACAGCCCTGTGCCACCATGCCTGGCTAATTTTTTGTATTCTTACTAGAGACGGGGTTTCACAATGTTGGCCAGGCTGTTCTCGGACTCCTGACCTCAGGTGATCTACCCGCCTCAGCCTCCCAGAGTGGTGGGATTACAGGCGTGAGCCACCGAGCCCAGCCTGTCTGTCTGTTTCTGTGTGAGTCTGTGTGGCTGTCTCTGGGAGTCTCTGTGTATGTCTCTGTCTCTCTCGCCTCCCCGTTTCTCTCGGCTTCCCATTGCCATGGCAAACACAGCTTTTCCACACCCTGTATTTGGTCATTCATAGAAAATGCATAGAAGTCACTCCGCAATTTTCCTTAAGAATGAAAAGTTGTCACCATGATGTTAGCACTGGCTTCCAGGCGCTGCCAAAAGGGACTGACCCCTCTCCTCACTTGGCTCTCCACGCTTGCGGTAGGTGATGAGACTATTTTAATAAGAGCAGCCAGGCGCTGTGGCTCACACCTGTAATCCCAGCACTTTGGGAGGCCGAGGCGGGCGGATCACCTGAGGTCAGGAGTTCGAGACCAGCCTCAACATGGAGAAACCCCGTCTCTACTAAAAATACAAAATTAGCCGGGTGGGGTGGTGTATGCCTGTAATCCCAGCTACTCGGGAGGCTGAGGCAGGAGAATCGCTTGAACCCGGGAGGCGGAGTTTGCGGTGAGCTGAGATTGTGCCACTGCACTCCAGCCTGGGCAATAAGAGCAAAACTCTTGTCTCGAAAAAAAAAAAATAAGAGCATTGATATGGGGAAAGTTGTCATGGTCCCAGGCACAAAAACACGGGCATATGGCTAATGCTTTAGGTTGAAAGCTTGTATGACAAAGTTTTCTTTTCTTTTTTTTTTTTTTTTTTTTTTTGAGATGGAGTCTTGCCTCTGTCGCCCAGGCTGGAGTGCAGTGGTGCGATCTTGGCTCACTACAACCTCTGCCTCCTGGGTTCAAGTGAGTCTTCTGTCCCAGCCTCCGGAGTAGCTGAGACTAGAGGTGTGCGTCACCATGCCTGGCTAATTTTTGTATTTTTAGTAAAGACGAGGTTTCACCATGTTAGCCAGGCTGGTCTTGAACTCCTGACCTCAGGTGATCTGCCCGCCTTGGCCTCCCAAAGTGCTGGGATGACAGGCGTGAGCCACTGTGCCTGGCCTGACAAAGTTCTTTTTACTAACCCAAACCTGGAGGTTGAGTGGCTTCAGCACTGAATGATCCCATGAAGGCCCTCATTTATCTTGCTGTTGAGCATTGCTGTCTTTCGTGAGCCCTTGTCAAGATAAGTCTTCTCAAATGCTCGAGATCACTGTGGTGTTTAAGGCTACAGTCAGCTGGTAGTAATGCAGGCTGTGGGTGGTAACAGTGTTTAGCGGGATACAGCTCACACCGATGGGAAGGGTGGTAGAGACAGCGTGAATAAAGGAAGTGGTCAGGTGATGAGAGGTAGGGCTGAGTCAACATTTAGGGTTCTACATGCACATGAAGTTCCCGTGTAGAATTTGCTAAAAATAAAGACACAAAGATAGTAGGTAGAGGCTGGGAGTGAAAACATCTGGGTCGGACTCTGCTGCATATTTAATTGAAGTTTTTTTCCCCTAAATATTTTATCTACTTAAAAATTTTGATTTTGTTTAAGATAGTAGTCTTTTTTTTGGTGGGGTGGTGGGGCGGACAGAGTCTCACTTGGTTGCCTAGGCTGGAGTGCAGTGGCGTGATTTCACCATGTTGGCCAGGCTAGTCTCAAACTCCTGACCTCAGGTGAGCCACCCGCCTCGGCCTCCCAAAGTGCTGGCATGACAGGCGTGAGCCACCGTGCCCAGCCAAGATGGTGGTGGTGCTGTGTTGCCCACAGCCGGGTTGGAGTGCAATGGTGCGATCTTAGCTCACTGCAGCCTTAAACTCAAGGAATCCTCCCACCTGAGCCTCCTGAGCTGGGATTACAGGTGCATGCCAAACATGCTTGGCTAATTTTAAAATATTTTATAGAGATGGAGTCTTGCTGTATTGACCAGGCTTGTCTTGAACTGCTGGCCTCCAGTTATCCCCTTGCCTTCGCTTCCCAAAGTGCTGGGATTACACGCGTGAGCTGCCACACTGGGCTCTTACCCACTTACCAGTAATAAACACAGAACTCCTAAAGTGCTGTGATTACGGCGCCTGACCAGCCTTAATTACCTCTGAAAAGCCCTGTGTCCAAATAGAGTCACATCTGGGGTAGGGCTTGTACATGACGTTTGGTGGGACCAATTCAGTCCGTAGCAAGGACTGTCCTGTGTATCACGTGATGTATAGCAGCACCCCTGGACTTGGATGAGCCTGAGCCTGCCCCCACTGCAACTCGTGACAACCAAAAAACCTCTCGGGATGTGGCCAGATACCCCCATGGGGACAAAATCACCCCCAGTTAAGAATGGCTGGCTCAGCCATTCACAATTGCAAAGATGTGGAACCAACCGAAGTGCCCATTGAATAATGAGTGGATTGTGGGCGGCAAGGCACCCAGGCACCGAGGCAAGAGACAGAGGACACGAGCTGTTCCAGTATAATAAAATATAAAACAAGAATTGTTATACCAGATATAGATCTTAGATATGATTATATATGAGTATCATTAATCATTAGCCGGTAGCAATTACTTTTTATTCCAATATTATAATAATCCTCACTCTATAATCATAGCCTAGGAAAAACCAGGCCATACAGAGATAGGAGCTGAGGGGACATAGTGAGGTGTGACCAGAAGACAAGAGTGCGAGCCTTCTGTTATGCCCGGACAGGGCCACCAGAGGGCTCCTTGGTCTAGCGGTGACGCCAGCGTCTGGGAAGACACCCGTCACCAAGCGGATCATGGTCCAGCGGTAGCAAAAGGTGTCAATTAACAACACCCGCTACTTAGCAGACCGGGAAAGGGGCAGCGGGTGGGGGGGGGGGTCTCCCTTTCCCCGGGGGAGTTTAGAGAAGACTCTGCTCCTCCACCTCTTGTGGAGGGCCTGACATCAGTCAGGCTCGCCCGCAGTTATCCGGAGGCCTAACCGTCTCCCTGTGATGCTGTGCTTCGGTGGTCACGCTCCTAGTCCGCCTTCATGTTCCATCCTGTACACCTGGCTCTGCCTTCTAGATAGCAGTAGTAAATTAGGGAAAGTACTAATAGTCCCTGATATGCAGAAATAATGGCGTAAGCTGTCTTTCTCTCTGTCTCCTCTCCCTCTCTGCCTCGGCTGCCAGGCAGGGAAGGGCCCCCTGTCCAGTGGACACGTGACCCACGTGACCTTACCTATCATTGGAGGTGACTCACACTCTTTACCCTGCCCCTTCTGCCTTGTATCCAATAAATAACAGCGCAGCCAGACATTCGGGGCCACTACCGGTCTCCGCGCATTGGTGGTAGTGGTCCCCCGGGCCCAGCTGCCTTTTCTCTTGTCTCTTTGTCTTGTGTCTTTATTTCTACACTCTCTCGTCGCCGCACACAGGGAGAGACCCACCGACCCTGTGGGGCTGGTCCCTACAGTGGATAAAGAAAACGTGGTGTCTATGTACCATGGAATACTATTCAGCCATTAGAAGGAATGAAATAATGTCATTTCCAGCAATTTGGATGGAGCTGGAGGCCATTATTCTAACAGGAGTAGAATCCATATGTTCTCACTTTTTTTTTTTTTTTTTAAGACAGTTTTGCTCTTGTTGCCCAGGCTAGAGTGCAATGGTGTGATCTTGGCTCACCGCAACCTCCGCCTCCTGGGTTCAAGCGATTCTCCAACCTCAGCCTCCCTAGTAGCTGGGATTATAGGCACGTGCCACCACACCCAGCTATGTATTTTTCTATTTTTAGTAGAGATGGGGTTTCACCATGTTGGCCAGACTGGTCTTGAACTCCTGGCCTCAGGCGATACACCTGCCTCAGCACCCCCAAAGTGATGGGATTACAGGCGTGAGCCACCGCCACCGTGCCTGGCTCTGTATGTTCTCAGTGGGAGCTAAGCTGTTGGTACACAAAGGCAGAGTGATGTAATGGGCTTCAGAGTCTCAGAAGGGGGAGGGCAGAAGGGAGGCCACAGATAAAAAACTACACATTAGGCCAGTGTGGTCGCTCACGCCTGTAATCTCATCACTTTGGGAGACCCAGGCGGGCCGATCACTTGAGGCCAGGAGTTCGAGACCATCCTGACCAAGATGGTGAAACCCTGTCTTTACTTACTAAAAGTACAAAAAATTAGCCAGGCATGGTAGTGGGTGTCTGTAATGCCAGCACTTTGGGAGGCCAAGGTGGGAGAATCGCTTGAACCCGGGAGGCGGAGGTTGTTGCAGTGAGCTGAGGCCACGACACTGCACTCCAGCCTGGGTAACAGAGCGAGACTTGGTCTCTAAATAAATAAAATAAAGGGCTCAGACTCTATCTCAAAAAATAAATGAATAAGGCCGGGTGCGGTGGCTTACACCTGTAATCCCAGCACTTTGAGAGGCCGAGGCGGGAGGATCACGAGGTCAGATCGAGACCATCCTGGCTAACATGGTGAAACCCCGTCTCTACTAAAAATACAAAAAATTAGCCGGGCTAGGTGGCGGGCGCCTGTAGTCCCAGGAGAATGGTGTGATCCCGGGAGGCGGAGCTTGCAGTGAGCAGAGATCGCGCCACTGCAGTCCAGCCTGGGCGACAGAGCAAGACTCTGTCTCAAGAAAAATAAATGAATAAAAACAATAAGAAAGAAAAATAGCCACGTCTTACGTAGGCTGAGACTGGAGAGTTTCCGTGGACTCGTAACCCTGCCTTTGTCCCTGCACTGAAGGGTGTAAGGTGGTTGCTTTCTGCATGAGCCAGTGTTTCTCAGCCTTGGTGCTGCTGCCATCTGGGGCTGCCCTGGGCATTGTAGGAAGCTGAGCAGCACCCCTGGACCCTACCTACCAGATGCCAGTAGAACCCCTCCCCAAGTCATGACAATTAAAAATTACCATGGGCATTGCCAAATGTCCCCTGGAGTGGAGAGCAAAATCACCCAGCAGAGAACTGCTAGGCTAGAGAGGTGCAGGATCCTAGGCTGGGTGCGGGGGCCTGTAATCCTCGCACTTTGGGAGGCCAAGGTGGGCGGATCACATGAGGTCGGGAGTTCAAGACCAACCTGGCTAACATGGTAAAACCCCCATCTCCACTAAAAATACAAAAATTAGCCAGGCGTGGCGGCACATGCCTGTAGTCCCAGCTCCTTGGGGGGCTGAGGCAGGAGAATCGCTAGACCCCAGCAGGCAGAGGTTGCAGTGAGCCAAGATGGCACCACTGCATTCCATCCTGGGCGACAGAGCAAGACTGTAGTTTTTTTGTTTTTGTTTTTGTTTTTTTTTGAGGAGTCACAGTCTGTCACTCAGGCTGGAGTGCAGTGGCGCAATCTCGACTCACTGCAACCTCTGCCTCCCGGGTTTGAACGATTCTCCTGCCTCAGCCTCCCGAGTAGCTGGGATTGGCTCTGGTGGTGGAGGTGCCTGCAAACCTGTTGGTACTGTAACCGTCAGAAAACGAGTAGCAAGAAGTGTCCGAGAAAGCCAGAGAAGTGAGTCCTTCGAGGAGGAAGTGGTCAACGTGTCAAATACAACTGTGGGGGAGCAATAATGAGAAGGGCTGAAAAGGGTCACTGCATGTTCCAGGAAGGAAGCTCATTAGTGTTGGTCACACAGACAGCTTCAGAGGAAGTGTGGGGAGAGAAGCCAGTTTCTAGCGGGTGGGGAGCACAGGTGAGAAGTCAGAACAAAGGCCACCAGTGTGGGTTATGTCTTAGGGAGCGTGGGTCTTCTGGCTGGGCGCGGTGGCTCAGTAATCCCAGCGACTCTGGAGGCTGAGGCAGGAGAATCGCTTGAACCCGGAAAGCGGAGGTTGCAGTGATCCGAGATTGCAGCACTGCACTCCAGCCTGGGTGTGCAGAGCGAGACTCAAAAAAAAAAAAAAAAAAAAAAAAATAGAACAGTTGATCTCCTAGAAGTGAGAGTAGGTGGAGGTTATCAGGGGCTGGGGGTGGTAGGAGAGGAAGATGTTGGTCAAAAAGCACAAGTAGCTGGGTGTGGTGGCTCACGTCTGTAATCCCAGCACTTTGGGAGGCCAAGGCGGGTGGATCACCTGAGACCAGGAGTTTGAGACCAACATGGAGAAACCCCGTCTCTACTAAAAATACAAAAATTAGCCGGGCGTGGTGGCACGCACTTGTAGTCCCAGCTACTCGGGAGGCTGAGGCAGGAGAATCGCTTGAACCCGGGAGGCGGAGGTTGCAGAGTCAAGATCGCGCCACTGCACTCCAGCCTGGGTGACAGAGCAGGACTTCGTCTCAAAAAAAAAAAAAAAAAAAAAGCACAATATTCAGTTATAAGATGAGTTAGTTCTGGGGGTCTGATATATGGGATGGCGATTATGGTTAACACAAGCAGCTTTTAAATGTCTTTACCCCTGCTCCCCGTTACCAGCCAAAGCTGTGAAGTTCCAGGCCCTTGGTGTTTCGAACAAAGAATTGGGTGTGATACACACACATAGCAAAGCGGCATAAGTTTATTAAGCATAGGATTACACTCTTGGAGAGGGGAGAGCAGGCGGACCTCTGCGAAATGAGATCGGCATCAGCTCGCTGTACTTTGGGTCTTTTTTTTTTTTTTTCTTATTAGGAATATACAACCATTTATTCACTGTTCACTAGTATTTACAATAAAGTGAACAAAATACAGTTCAATAACATTCAGATTACCACAAAGTTGTGTTTCCTGGCTTTTACTGAACCAGTAAAGCAGATACTGAAAAGACTGAGCCTATGTGGTTTTTTTTTTTTTTTTTTTGAGATGGAGTCTCGCTCTGTCGCCCAGGCTGGAGTGCAGTGGCACGATTTTGGCTCACCGCAACCTCCGCCTCCCAGGTTCAAGCGATTCTCCTGCCTCAGCCTTCTGAGTAGCTAGGATTACAGGTGCCTACATGTAAGGAATGAGTTGGGGTAAAGAAAAAATACGCGAGTCAGCAGTTTATTTATTTTGAGAGGGAGTCTCGCTCTGTTACCAGGCTGGAGTGCAGTGGTGCAATCTCGGCTTACCACAACCTCTGCCTCCCGGGTTCAAGTGATTCTGCTGCCTCAGCCTCCCGAGTAGCTGAGATTACGGGTGCAAGCCACTGCGCCTGGCTAATATTTTGTATTTTTTAGTAGAGATGGGGTTTTACCGTGTTGGCCAGGCTGCTATTTAATGGAAAAATCAGATTTAGAGAATAAATTTGACCGGCATGAGGCACCAGAATAATGGGAGGGCGTGAGGACCCATGCGATGAGTATATAAATGGGTTGATAAGTAGAAGTTCTCAGGGAGGAAAGCGATGGTGGTGTCCAGACAGCATTTCAAGACCCCTAGTGAGAAGTCTCAAGTTGCAGGCTGTGCCACAGCCCCGTATATACATTCACTCATTTGATATATATTTCCCGAGAACCCCGTTATAGTTGCGGGAGCTGTGAATGCAGCCACTAAATCTGACATAGATCAATTCACACGAGTTCACGGTAGAGGCAGGAAAATGGACATGCATGCCGAATCAGGGTTCAAGTGCTGTTACAGGGAATTAACAGGTGCTTTGGGATGAGGAAAGTGTTGTCTTGGCTGGGCGCAGTGGCTCACGCCTGTAATCCTAGCACTTTGAGAGGCCAAGGCGGGGGGATCACCTGAACTCAGGAGTTTGAGACCACCCAGGGCAACATGATGAAACCCTACCTCTACTAAAGATGCAAAAAAAATTAACCGGGTGTGGTGGCGCGCGCCTCTAGTCCCAGCTACTTGGGAGGCTGAGGAAGGAGAATCGCTTGAGCCCCAGAGGCGAAGGTTGCAGTGAGCTGAGATTGTGCCACTGCACGCCAGCTTGGGCTACAGAGTGAGACTGTCTCAAAAAAAAAAAAAAAAGTGCTATCTTTGTGAAGTCGGAGTTGTGGAAACTCTTGGAGGAAATGATATCTCTGCAGAGCCCTGAAGAACAAGGCAAGGTGTGGATAAAGAAGCAAAGATGGTGGCCGGGTACGGTGACTCACACCTGTAATTCCAGCACTTTGGGAGGCCGAGGCTGGTGGATCACCTGAGGTCAGGAGTTCAAGACCAGTCTGGCCAACATTGTGAAACCCCATTTCTACTAAAAATACAAAAATTAGCCGGGCGTGGTGGTGCATGCCTATAATCCCAGCTATTCAGGAGGCTGAGGCAGGAGAATCATTTGAACCCTGGAGGTGGAGGTGGCAGTGAGCCAAGATTGCACCACTGCATTCCAGCCTGGGTGACAAAAGTGAAACTCGGGGGAAGGGATAGCATTAGGAGATATACCTAATGTTAAATGACGAGTTAGTGGGTGCAGCACACCAACATGGCACATGTATACATATGTAACTAACCTGCACGTTGTGCACATGTACCCTAAAACTTACATTAAAAAAAAAAAAAGTGAAATTCTGTCCCAACAAAACAAACAAAAAAAAAGAAAAAAAAAAAAAAGGAAGAGAAGATGGAATAATTCTGTGGTTAGAAGGAATTGGGGTATGGTTGGGATGCAGCCAGGAGTCACTTATTTTTTTTTTTTCTTTTTTTTTTTGAGACAGAATCTTGCTCTGTCACGTAGGCTGGAGTGCAGTGGTGCGATCTTGGCTCCCTGCAGCCTCCGCCTCCCGGGTTCAAGCTATTCTCCTGCCTCAGCCTCCTGAGTAGCTGGGATTACAAGCACACGCCACCATACCTGGCTAATTTTTATATTTTTAGTAGAGATGTGGTTTCACCATGTTGGCCAGGCTGCTCTCGAACTCCTGACCTCAGGTGATCCTCCCACCTTGGCCTCCCAAAGTGCTGGGATTACAGGCATGAGCCACCGTGCCTGGCCGAGTTTTTGTATTTTTAGTAGAGATGGGGTTTCATCATGTTGGCCAGGCTGGTCTCGAACTCCTGACCTCAGGTGATCTGCCCGCCTCAGCCTCCCAAAGTGTTGGGATTACAGGTGTGAGCCACCGTGCCTGGCAGGATTCACTTATAAAGCTGCTTCTCTACAACTGGTTGTTGCCACAATGCCTCCTGAACCATTTGATACAGACCTATTCTATATTGGTTATTAACTATTTTGAATGGCTTCCTGCAGAGAAAGGAAAGAAAAAAAGACCAAAGTAGGAAAAAAATATTTCCATGGCCATCCTGTTAAAGAAGGAGAGATCTTTTCAGAAAAGACCAGAGTGGTTAAAAGTATGGTTTGCAGTAAGTGGTACAAAAATAGTTAGAGCCTAGAAGAGACCATAGGATTTGTCTACAGAAGAAATTCAGTGGCTGGGCGCAGCGGCTTATGCCTGTAATCCCAGCCCTTTGGGAGGCCAAGGCGGGGAGATCACTTGAGGTCAGGAGTTCGAGACCAGCCAACAGGGAGAAACCCCGTCTCCACTAAAAATACAAAATTAGCTGGGGTGGTGGCACATGCCTGTAATCCCAGCTACTCAGGAGGCTGAGGCAGGAGAATCACTTGAACCCGAGGGATGGAGAGCTAGAGGTTGCAGTGAGCCAAGATCGCGCCATTGCACTCCAGCCTGGGCAACAAGAGAAAACTCTGTCTCAAAAAAAAAAAAAAAGAAATTTAGCATGTAGTTCTCCCACCCTCTGCATCGTCCGGGATGCTCTGACAAATGGAATGCCAGTGTCCCTCTTTCCCTGCAGTGACTCCCTCCTCCGTGGGTCCAACACAGAGCTCACGCCGCCCAGGCTCAACACCAGCTTTCAGATCCACCCATGGCCACTGTGTCTCATGGTCATTCTTCAAAGAGTCTGTGTGTTCAGCCTTCTCCTGCCTTCCCAAGTGGAAGCTCTGCTGGCTCGCTCTCTAGTCCTCTTCCTGCTGAGCCAGTCTTCAACCAGGAACCACACTAGAGCCACCAGGACTAGAAAGGCCAGGCCCATCCGAAGGAGATTCTGGGCAGTGTGATCCCAGAGGGCATGGTCTGTAGGCAGGAGAACAGGGTGATCGCTGACAGGGATGTAAGGACACCCTCTTTTTTTTTTTTTTTTTTTTTTTTTTTTTTTTTTTTTTTGAGACAGAGCCTCAGTCTTGTCGCCCAGGCTGGAGTGCAATGGCACGATCTCGGCTCACTGCAACCTCCACTTCCTGGGTTCAAGCTATTCTCCTGTCTCAGCCTCCCAAGTAGCTGGGACTACAGGCACACGCCACCACGCCTGGCTAATTTTTTTGTATTTTTAGTAGAGATGGGATTTCGCCATGTTGGCCAGACTGGTCTTGAACTCCCGACCTCAGATGATCTGCCCGCCTCGGCCTCCCAAAGGGCTGAGATTACAGGTGTGAGCTACTGCGCCTGGCCAAGGACACCCTCTTGTTCCCATTTAGATTCCCTTCCTAGGTCTACTCTATGCCCAGCCCCTTCCTTCAGAGCCTATGGCCCCAGCTGTCTACTTACCTTTCTGGAGTCCCGTCTCTGTGGTTAAAAGGTAGGTGCCCCAAGTGTCTGCTGATGATAAGGGAAGTGAAGAAAAGAGGATGGTTTTGACCTCCTCCACCCCAGCACTCCTTCCCTTGGGTCTACCCCATGACGTTCTGCAGCTTTACAAGGTCCCACCTCACCCTGCGGGTCCCAGGAGCTTCATCCAGCAGGTAAAGTGGAAGGGTCCACAGATGGACGAACCTGACGAGGAATTCCATTCTAGCACTTGTGAGCATGTGTCTTTGCACCAGTCATGTCTTCTATTTTTTTTTTTTTTGAGATAGAGTCTCACTGTGTTCCAGCCTCTGGAGTAGCTGGGACTACAGGCACACACCACATACCCAGGTAATTTTTTTCATATTTTTAGTAGAAACGGGGTTTTGCCATGTTGGCCAGGCTGGTCTTGAACTCCCAACCTCAGATGACCTGCCTGCTTCGGCCTCCCAAAGGGCTGGGATGACAGGCCTCTGAGGCTGGAGTACAGTGGTGTGATCTCAGCTCACTGCAACCTCCGCCTCCCGAGTTCAAGCAATCCTCTTGCTTCAGCCCCGAGTAGCTGTAATTACTGGCGTGCGCCACCACACCCAACTCATGTTTGTATTTTTAGTAGAGATGGGGTTTCACTGTGTTGGCCAGGCTGGTCTTGAACTCCTGACCTCAAGTGATCCAGCCGCCCCTGCCTTCCAAAGTGCTGGGATTACATGCGGGAGCCACCCGGCCCAGCCCGTCTTCTATTTAAGCCTCATTTTCCTCATTAAGTCATCATTACCTCTTTCTCCTCACACATACACACATAGTGAAATTCAAAGTCTCACTATTTTTTTTTCTTTTTCTTTTTCTTTTTTTTTTTTTTTGAGACGGAGTCTCACTCTGTCGCTCAGGCTGGAGTGCAGTGGCGCGATCTCAGCTCACTGCAAGCTCCGTCTCCCGGGTTCACGCCATTCTCCTGCCTCAGCCTCTTGTGTAGCTGGGACTACAGGCGCCCGCCACCACGCCCGGATAATTTTTGTATTTTTTTTTAGTAGAGACAGGGTTTCACCGTGTTAGCCAGGATGGTCTTGATCTCCTGACCTCATGACCCACCTGCCTCGGTTTCCCAAAGTGCTGGGATTACAGGCGTGAGCCACCGCGCCGGGCCTCACTCCTGTAATCCTAGCCGTGCGCCCCAGGCCCATCCCACCGTCATCTTCCAAACATCATTTTCAACCCTCCTGGCCTCATAGTTATTATTGTATTACCCCAGTTATCTTCCTGCCCCAGGGCACAGGCAGATGCCATTTCATTCTCTCCAGAGCCTCCTTTCTCCTGACAGCCACATGATTAACTCAAGTCTGAACGCATTTGCTCAGATGCCTTCTTTCTCTGTGAGGTCCATCTGGACAAACCTATTTAATATTGCTAGCTGCCATTTCAATCACTGTAAGTCTGTTCTACTTTGTCTTTTCCTTCCATAGCATCATTCCCTCCTGTGTGCTATCCTGACGTTGACCGATGGTGTGTCTCCTCCTGCTAGAATCTAAGTGCTGCAGAGTCAAGATATCTGCCTGGCTGACTGTTACAGTGTAGTTCACTGTGTATACTATGCACTTGATGAATATATATATATAATAGTTTTGTTTTTGTTTTTCTGTGAGATGGAGTCTCGCTGTGTCGTGCAGTGGAGTGGAATGCAGTGGCGCGATCTCAGCTCACTGCAACCTCTGCATCCCAGGTTCAACAATTCTCCTGCCTCAGCCTCCTGAGTAGCTGGGATTACAGGCGAGCACCACCAGGCCCGGCTAATTTTTGTATTTTTAGTAGAGATGGGGTTTCACCATGTTGGTCAGGCTGGTCTCGAATTCCTGACCTTGTGATCCAACCACCTTGGCCTCCCGAAGTGTTGGGATTACAGGTGTGAGCCATGATGCCCAGCCTAAGTTTTGTATTTTTAGTAGAGACAGGGTTTCGCCATGTTGGCCAGGCTGGTCTCAAACTCCTGACCTCAAATGATGCACCATCTCGGCCTCCCAAAGTGCTGGGATTACAGGCGTGAGCCACCACGCCTGGCCTCGATGAATATTTTGAATGAATGCCACGTTTTTAGTGTCACTGGGAGGCTCTGATTGCTCGTCTGAGCTTAGAAGGACCAGTTACTCACCAGGAAAGGTGGGGTCTTCAGGTGCAAGGCTGGTGTTCTCAATGTCGCCTGGAAAAGGAGATAAAGAAAAAAAAGTAAGGGTTTTTGGTTTCCTCCGGTCTTGCCATTCTTTTTTTTTTTTTTTTTTTTTTTGAGATGGAGTCTTGCTCTGTCGCCCAGGTTGCAGTGCGGTGGTATGATCTCGGTTCACTACAACCCCCGCCTCCCGGGTTCAAGCGATTCTCCTGCCTCAGCCTCCTGAGTAGCTGGGACTACAGGTGTCCGCCACTGCGTCTGGCTAATTTCTGTATTTTTAGTAGAGACGGGGTTTCACCGTCTTGGCCAGGCTGGTCTCGAACTCCTGACCTTGTGATCCACCCGCCTTACCATTCCTTTCTCTGCTCCCTCCTCCTTCCTGCTTCTGGTGTTCTTCCTCACATGACCAACCAGGCACCCAGGAAGTGGACGTCCCTTGGACACCCTCCCCATCACTCTCTGGGGATCCCTCAGGGCTCCAGGTAGGACATGGCGGCGAAGGGTGTGGGGAATTGAGCATTTCCTCACCTGTGACCAGGAGCTTCACTGGCTCACTGGGGAAAGACCAGGCATGGTTGTTATAGGAGCCAAAACATCGGTATGTCCCTCGGTGGGCTGTGGTCACAGGGCCCAGGGGGAACTCCGCCTGGACCTTCCCGTATCCGCGCTGTACGTGGCTGGATCTTCCCTCCTTGAGCAGTAAGAACATGCTTGTTGCAGTGTCTAGACGGCAGTAGAAGGTCACCTTCTCTCCCGAGATCACTTCGGGTCCAGGATGAACCGAGAGGGTGGGTGTGTCATACATTTCTATGAGAGAAGGTGGGGCCACCACACCAGAAACTCAGTGATGAGCAGCCAGCTATTTTTTTTTTTCTTTCTTTAGAGATGGAGTCTCTCTCTGTCGCCCAGGCTGGAGTGCAGTGACACGATCTTGGCTCACTGCAACCTCTGCCTCCCGGGTTCAAGCGTTTCTCCTGCCTCACCCTCCCAAGTAGCTGGGACTACAGGGGCCTGCCACCATGCCTGGCAGCCAGCTTTTTTTTTTTTTTTAATTATTATTTTGGTCAAATACACACAATAGAAGATTTACCGTCTAAAACCATTTTTAAAAATGATACAGGGTCTTGCTCTGTTTCCCAGGCTGGAGCGCCGTGGCACTATCTTTGCTTACTGAAGACTCGACCTCCTGGGTCAGGAGTTTGAGACCAGCCTGGTCAACATGGTGAAACCCCGTCTCTACTAAAAATGCAAAAATTAGCCGGGTGTGGTGGCACATGCCTGTAATCTCAACTACTTGGGAGGCTGAGGCAGGAGAATTGAGGCTGAGGCAGAGGTTGCAGTGAGCTGAGATTGTACCACTGCACTGCAGCGAGACTGTCTCAAAAAAAAAAAAAAAAAGCCCCGGCCAGCCGCCCCGTCCGGGAGGTTGGGGGGCAGCCCCCGCCCGGCCACTGCCCCGTCTGGGAGGTGGGGGGGCGCCTCTGCCCGGCCGCCCCGTCTGGGAAGTGAGGAGCCCCTCTGCCCGGCCGCCACCCCGTCTGGGAGGTGTACCCAACAGCTCATTGAGAATGGGCCATGATGACGATGGCGGTTTTGTCGAATAGAAAAAGGGGAAATGTGGGGAAAAGAAAGAGAGATCAGATTGTTACTGTGTCTGTGTAGAAAGAAGTAGACATAGGAGACTCCATTTTGTTCTGTACTAAGACAAATTCTTCTGCCTTGGGATGCTGTTAATCTATGACCTTACCCCCAACCCCGTGCTCTCTGAAACATGTGCTATGTCCACTCAGGGTTAAATGGATTAAGGGCGGTGCAAGATGTGCTTTGTTAAACAGATGCTTGAAGGCAGCATGCTCCTTAAGAGTCATCACCACTCCCTAATCTCAAGTACCCAGGGACACAAACACTGCGGAAGGCCGCAGGGACCTCTGCCTAGGAAAGCCAGAGACCTTTGTTCACATGTTTATCTGCTGACCTTCTCTCCACTATTGTCCTATGACCCTGCCAAATCCCCCTCTCCGAGAAACACCCAAGAATGATCAATAAATACTAAAAAAATTAAAAAAAAAAGAATAAATGAGTAGCTGTGTTCCCCTGCCAGAACCTCCAAACAAGGTCCAAAGACCCTGAGCAAATGAAAAGGCACAGACAAAAAATATATATATTTCAACACAAGTATATGACACAGAATATAGAAATAACTTTTCCTAATCAATCAAAATATAAGCAACCCAATTTAAAAATAGGCAAAAGATTTAAATAGACATTTCACAAAAGAAGATATTTGAATGGACATGAAATACTGTTGTGAGCTGCATAATGACATTTTGGCCAACAATGTACCACATATATGATGGTGGTCCCATAAGATTATAATGAAACTGAAAAATTCCTATTGCCTGATGACATCATAGCCTTCCTAGCACAAAGTATTGCTCATGTGTTTTTGGTGTTGCTGGTATAAACAAACCTAATTGTATAGCACATACAATTATGTATGTATATGTAACTATGTATAATACTTGATAATAATAATAAACAACCATATTGTTAAAAAAAAAAAAAGCTAATTTTTTTTTTTTTTTTTAGAAAACCACCACCTGGCTGGGTGTGATGGCTCACACCTGTAATCCCAGCACTTTGGGAGGGTGAGGCGGGCGGATCATCTGAGGTCAGGAGTTCGACACCACCCTGGCCAACATGGTGAAACCCCATCTCTACTAAAAATACAAAATGTGGCGTAGTGGTGGGTGCCTGTGATCCCAGCTACTTGGGAAGCTGAGGCTGGAGAATCACTTGAACCCAGGAGGTGGAGGTTGCAGTGACTGGAGATTGCACCACTGCACTCCAGCCTGGGTGACAAGAGCGAAACTCCGTCTCAAAACAGATAAAAAAAAAAAAAACCCACCACCTGTGATGGGTGAGGGAAGCAAAGTGTAAGCCACTGCGCCTAGCCCACAGGCATTGTTTTTGAGGACATTCCTCAGTCATACCCCTGCATACAAATATCTATCTCAGAATCTGTGTCATGGAGAAACTGACTGAGGACACATCTGCTCCTAGGACGTAGAGACACGGTCTGCAGACAACCCCTTGTAGGCAAGGATTGTGATGGGGATCACCCCTCCTTCCAGCCTCCTACCGAGACAAGCAGTGTCTGAGTGGGGCTTGGAAGAGTTCATAGATGATGCTGCATCCCGGATGCAGACTGAGATCACTCTCCAGTTAGAGAACCGGACAGTTACCTGTTACCACCAGATCCAGCAAGTTGCTGGGCTCTGACCAGAGCTCCCCAACCCGATAGATGCAGCTGTATTGCCCTGCCATGCGGGAGTTCATGTCCGGGATGTAGAATTTGACTTTGTTAATCCGCTCAGGGGGTTTTGGTCTGTCCACGGCAAAAAGGCTTCCTTCAAAGTGCAGCTGGTATTCAACAGCCCCATAATTTCCCTGGCAACAGATGGTCACTTGCTTTTCCTTTGGAACCATGAAATGGGGCTCGGCCCAGATGAACGGTTTTGGGAGAGTCTCTGGAAGGGAATCAGAGGCTGGAGTTCCAGCGGAGCCCCCTCCCCCCAACCTTAGGCTCCACCCAGCTGCTGGCCCCAAGCTCTCCTGGGAAGCCAGCACCCTGTCCCCTCTCCCCAGCCGTGCTTGGGTGGAAGGAGCTTGGCCTGAACCCGGAAGAGTGACCCTGGGCTTTGAAGGAAGGACTCACGCTGCTGGGCGCTGATCCTCTGACTCAGACACAGCCCTGGAAGACGGGAGTAATGAGACCTGTTGCCTCCCAGGCACACCGTGATCCCATTCCCCTTCCACGCCAGAACTCACCGACGCAGAGCAGGGCAGGGAGTGTGGAAGACATCGCTCAGATTCTGCCGGCCTAGTGCTGAGCAGTGGGGACTGAGCCGGGCGGGCCAGGGAGATAGATACACAGGAAGTGGTGGGTGAGCACCAGCGCCCATCACCAGAGCGCTTTCACGTTGACTGCTTTCATCAGAACGTTCACAACTCCCCTCCGCCTCTGACCATGAGCTTACAGAAAGGCCGTGGTCCCTCTGACACATCTGTGGTCTAGCCAGCAACTCTGACAATTGTCTGCTCAGCCCAAAATGCATTTCTGGGTCAACTTCTCAATTCTGCAATGTGGAGGTCGTACCCAGAGCTGACTGTGGGAAGTTGTGCCCAATCATGCCCAGAGGAAACCCCCTGAGAATCGTATAAAAACATAGGGAGTTTCACAGTGAGATACTGGAACAGGAATTAAAAGAAATTACAGAATGTGTAAACAAAAACTCAGTTGTATTTAAGAAAACCCAGTTCCCCCCGAGGAAGAGAAAGAGGTGGAGTCCTTTAAACATGAACTGCCTGTTTTTCTGTCTGTGGCTAGTGAGCCTTATCTCTCCCTTTCCCAGGCATTGTGAAGACCCTGTTTCTCTTGCCGTGCGGCTGCAAGATCACTAGACAGGATAACCTCAAGTCGTAAAACATATTTTTCTTGAAAAGTAAGGAATAATGTGATGCATGTCTCAATTGAATAACTGCCTTTGTTTCTTGCTTCTGTAATATGCTTCCCCCTGCACAGATCTCCCCCAACCCCACAAAATGCTTAAAAGGTAACCGGACTCTCTGTTCGAGCCTCAGTCTTTTTGGATGTTAATCTGACTGGGGCCGGTGCACCTAAATAATAATAATAATAATAAATCCTCCTCAACCCCTCGGTCTCTCTGATTCCTAAATTATCCCTCAACAATACCATCTCACACCAGTCAGAATGGCCATTACTGAAAAGCCAGAAATTAACAGATGCTGGTGAGATTGTGGAGCAAAGGGGACACTTATACACTGTTGGTGGGTGTAAATTAGTTCAGCCACTGTGGAAAGCAGTTTGGTTTGGAGATATTTCAGAGAACTACAAACAGAGTTACCATTCAGCCCAGCAATCCCATCGCTGGGTATATAGCCAAAGGAAAATAAATCATTCTACCAAAAAGACACATGCACTTGTATGTTCATTGCAGCAGGATTCACAATAGTGAAGACATGGAATCCACCCAGGTCCCATCAGAGGTGGACTGGATAAAGACAATGTGATATGTATACACCACAGAACGCTATACAGCCTTGAAAAATCACAAGATTATGTCCTTTGCAGCAACATGGATGCAGCTAGAGGCCATTATCCTAAGCGAGTTAACACAGAAACAGAAAACCAAATACTGGCCAGACACGGTGGCTCACGCCTGTCATCCCAGCACTTTGGGAGGCTGAGGCAGGTGGATCACCTTAGGTCGGGAGTTCGAGACCAGCCTGACCAACATGCAGAAACCCTGTCTCTACTAAAAATTCAAAATTAGCCGGGTGTGGTGGCACATGCCTGTAGTCCCAACTACTCGGGAGGCTGAGGCAGGAGAATTGCTTGAACCTGGAAGGTGAAGGTTGCAGTGAGCCGAGATGGTGCCATTGTACTCCAGCCTGGGCAACAAGAGTGAAACTCCATCTCAAAAAAAAAAAAAAAAAAGAAAAGAAAACCAAATACCACATGTTCTCACTTATAAGTGAGAGCGCTAAACATTGGGTAAGGAGGGGAGCAAGGCTTGAAAATCTACCTATTTGGTGACTAGATCATTAATGCAAGCCTCAGCATCATGCAATATACTCATAAAAAACCTGCACATGTATCTGCTGAATCTAAAAAGATAAAAATAGGGGTTTTGACGTTGGCTTCTCTGTGTACAGTATACATATGCTTGGATAAGTTAATTGGTTTCATCAGAATGGAATGATAACACTAACTTCTTCAAAGATAGTGTTATAATGTTTCAATAAAATAAAAGTGAAAAGAAAAGCTTTTCATTTAAAGAACTTAATAAGAAAAGAAACATTTCTTTTCTTTTTCTTTTTCTTTCTTTTTTTTTTTTTTTTGAGACAGAGTCTTGCTCTGTTGCCCAGGCTGTGGTGCAGTGGTGTGATCTCAGCTCACTGCAACCTCTGCCTTGTGGGTTCAAGCAATTCTCCTGCCTCAGCCACCTGAGTAGCTGGGACTACAGACACCCAACACCACGCCCAGCTCATTTTTGTACTTTTAGTAGAGACCGGTTTTTACCACGTTGGCCAGGATGGTCTCCAACTCCTCACCTCAAGTGAATCTTCCTGCCTCGGCCTCTCAAAGTGCTGGGATTACAGGTGTGAGCCACCACACCCAGCCAAGAAACATTTCTTTTAAGTAAGTAACTAACTCTCCACTTAATAAAAAAAAATTCTATGCAGAAGTTGTTAAGATCTACAGTAAGAAAAAAGAAATTCATGCATTTTATATATACACACATATATACATATATACCTTTTATATATATACACATATATACATTTATACATATATGTATACATATATACATATATGTGTATATATACTGCATAGTACCGTACATGTATATATACACATGCATATATACACATACATGTATATGCGTATATATACACATATATGTATATATACACACATGCATACATGCATATATATGTATACACACATGTATGCGTGTATACATACATATATGTATATACATACATGTATGCGTGTATACATACATATATGTATATACATACATATATGCGTGTATACATACATGTATGCGTGTATACATACATATACATATATGTATATACATACATGTATATATACATGTATGTATATATGCATATATGTATATACATACATGCATATATACATGTATGTATACATATACGTATATGTGTATATATGTATATACATATATATATACATGTAAGGTACTATGTAGTTTTCAGCATCCACTGGGGCCTTGGAATATATCCTGGTGGATACATGTGACTACTGTACAAGACTAGTTGTATCTTCTTGAGGCAAACAAATGTGCTAATTCTTTTTTTTTTCTCTTTAAGACGGAATCTCACTCTGTCCCTCAAGCTGGGGTGCAGTGGTGCAATCTCAGCTCACTGCAACCTTCACCTCCTGGGTTCAAGCAATTCTCCTGTTCTAGCCTCCCAAGTAGCTGGGATTACAGGCGTGTGCCACCACACTCGACTAATTTTTGTATTTTTAGTAGAGACAGGGTTTCCCCATGTTGGCCAGGCTAGTCTCGAACTCTTGACCTCAAGTGATCAGCCCACTTTAGCCTCCCAAAGTGCTGGGATTACAGGCGTGAGCCACCACACCCAGCCCGCCTCCTTCTTATTTACTGAAGATTCAGTACTCGGTGCTGGCGTTTCCCCTTACACAGCTGTCATAACTCTGGGTGTTTTCTTTATCCTTCCCCCTACGGAGCGCTTGGATGCCCTCTATGGAGGAGACTTATGTAGGCTGGATCCTCAGACCTCAGCCACCCTCTCAGCCATAACATAGTTACCTTCACCAAAGAAATATAAGAATATTGTCTTTTATTATTTTGAGCTTTTAATTTTGACATAATTCCAGACTTGCAAAAATAGTTTAAAGAATTTCTGGCCAGGTGCAGTGGCTCACACCTGTAATCCCAGCACTTTGGGAGGCCGAGGTGGGTGGATTGCTTGAGACGAGCCTGGGGGAAAAAAAAATGCAAAAATTAGCCAGGTGTGGTGCTGTGCGCCTATAGTCCCAGCTACTTGGGAGGCTGAGGTGAGAGGGTCATCTGAGCCCAGGGAGGTAGAAGCTGCAGTGAGCCATGATCGTGCCACTGCACTCTAGCCTGGGTGACAGAGTGTTACCCTGTCTATAAAAAAAAAAAAAATCTGTAATTTCTTCATCCAGATTTCCCCAAAGTTAGCATTTTACCACATTTGCTTCATCATTCAGCCTCTCTCCCTCTCCCTCTCTCCCCGAAGAAAGTGTGTCTAATTTGCATATGATGCCCTAAACCTCTAATCACTTCAGGTTATATTTCCCAAAACCAAGGACATTCTGTTATTAATGTTCAAGGTCAAGAAATAGCACTGATATGACACTATTGTCTGATCTATCCACTTTATTCAAATTTCACCACTTGTTTTACCAGTGACATATATTTGGTTTAGGATTTAATCCAAGATTACACAATTTATTTAATTGTCATGTCTCTCTTATTTGGAGATGGAATCTTGCTCTGTAGCCCAGGCTGGAGTGCAATGGTGTGATCTCAGCTCACTGCAACCTCCGCCTCCTGGGTTCAAGCAATTCTCCTGCCTCAGCTTCCTGAGTAGCTGGGATTAGAGGCACCCACAACCACGCCCAGCTAATTTTTGTATTTCTAGTAGAGATGGGGTTTCGTCAAGTTGGCCAGGCTGGTTTCGAACTCCTGAACTCAACTGATCCACCTGCCTCAGCCTCCCAAAGTGCTGGGATTAGAGGCATGAGCCACCACGCCCAGCCTCCTTTAAAAAATAAAACTATAGACTTTATTCTGATTTCACCAGTTTTTCCACTAGCATCCTTTCTTCGCTCCAGGAGCTCCAGTGATCCGCCTGCCTCAGCCTCCCACCTGCCTCGGCCTCCCAAGGTATTGGGATTACAGGTGTGAGCCATCTGGATCTATTTAATTCAGCCTTAAGCCCACACCAGCATTCCTGGGACTGTCCCCCCTCTACAGACTCTAAGCCATGTTTGAGATGATGAATTTCAAGTCGTGATTCAATCACTTAAGTGGTAAGTGACACAGAGGATATTACTAATCTTTTTTTTTTTTTTTTTGAGATGGACTCTTGCTCTGTCACCCATGCTGGAGTGCAGTGGCGCAATCTCGGCTCGCTGCAAGCTCTGCCTCCGGGGTTTATGCCATTCTCTTGCCTCAGCCTCCTGAGTGGCGCAATCTCGACTCACTGCAAGCTCTGCCTCCCGAGTTTATGCCATTCTCCTGCCTCAGCCTCCTGAGTAGCTAGGACTACAGGTGCCCACCACCACGTCCGGGTAATCTTTTTTTTTTTTTTTTTTTTTTCAAAGTAGAGATGGGGTTTCACCATGTTAGCCAGGATGGTCTCCATCTCCTGACCTCGTGATCCGCCCTTCTCGGCCTCCCAAAGTGCTGGGATTACAGGCGTGAGCCACCGCACCCGGCCTTTTTTTGGTATTTAAAAATATAACTTTATTGAGATATAATTTACATGCCATACAATTACCCATTAAAAGTGCATAATTCAATGGTTTAAATTTTGTGGTATTCACGGAGTTGGTGCAACCGTCAACACAGTCTAATTTTAGAATGTTGTCATCACTGCCCTTCAGAACCCCATGCCGACCAGCTGCCCATCACCACGATCCCCTCACTCTCCCGGCCCTAGGCAACCACTCATCTTCTGTCTCTAAACACCAGAAGGTACTTTTCAAAAATTGTGGCAAAATACACATAACATACATTTTAATATTTAAGAAGTTTTCTAAGGCCAGGTGCAGTGGGTCATGCCTGTAATCCCAGCACTTTGGGAGGCCGAGGTGTGCGGATCACCAGGTCAGGTGATCCAGACTGTCAGGCCTCTGAGCCCAAGCTAAGCCATCATATCCCCCTGTGGCCTGTATGTACACATCCAGATGGCCGGTTCCTGCCTTAACTGATGACATTCCACCACGAAAGAAATGAAAATGGCCTGTTCTTGCCTTAAGTGATGACATTATCTTATGAAATTCCTTCTCCTGGCTCATCCCGGCTCAAAAGCTCCCCTACTGAGCACCTTGTGAACCCCACTCCTGCCCGCCAGAGAACAACCCCCTTTTGACTGTAATTTTCCTTTACCTACCCAAATCCTATAAAACGGCCGCACTCCTATCTCCCTTTGCTGACTCTCTTTCTGGACTCAGCCCGCCTGCACCCAGGTGAAATAAACAGCCTTGTTGCTCACACAAATCCTGTTTGGTGGTCTCTTCACACGGACGTGAGTGAAATTTGGTGCCATAACTCGAATCAGGGGATCTTCCTTAGGAGATCAATCCCCTGTCCTCCTGCTCTTTGCTCCATGAGAAAGATCCACCTACGACCTCTCGTCCTCAGACCAACCAGCCCAAGGAACATCTCACCAATTTTAAATCCAGTAAGCAGCCTCTTTTTACTCTCTTCTCCAACCTCTCTCACTATCCCTCAACCACTTTCTCCTTTCCACTCTTCAATCTCTCCCTTCTCTTAATTTCAGTTCCTTTCCTTTTCTGGTAGAGACAGGAGACGCGCTTTATTCGTGGACCCAAAACTCCAGCGCCGGTCATGGACTCGGGAAGGCAGCCTTCCCTTGGTGTTTAATCACGCAGGGACACCTCTCTGATTATTCACCCACGTTTCAGAGGTGTCTGACCACATGGGGATGCCTGCCTTGGTCCTTCACCCTTAGTGGCAAGTACTGCTTTTCTGGGGGGGCAAGAACCCCCAACTCCTTCTCTGTGTCTCTACCCCTTCTCTGCTTTTCTGGGGGGGCAAGAACCCCCCAACCCCTTCTCCTTCACCCTTAGTGGCAAGTACCGCTTTTCTAGGGGGCAAGAATCCCCCGATCCCTTATTTCTGTGCCCTGACGTCTTATCTCTGCACCCCGATCCCTTATTTCCACACCCCGACCTCTTGTCTCTGCACCCCAATCCCTTACTTCTGTGCCCTGACCCCTTTCCCGCTTTTCTGGAAGGTAAGAACCCCTGAACCCCTTCCCTCCATGTCTCTACTCTCTCTTTTCTCTGTGCTTGCCTCCTTCAGTATGGGCAACCTTCCACCCTCCATTCCTCCTTCTTCTCCCTTAGCCTGTGTTCTTAAAAACCTAAAACCTCTTCAACTCACACCTGACCTAAAACCTAAATGCCTTATTTTCTTCTGCAATGCTGCTTGACCCCAATACAAACTTGACAGTGGTTCCAAATAGCCAGAAAACGGCACTTTCAATTTTTCCATCCTACAAGATCTAAATAATTCTTGTTGTAAAATGGGCAAATGGTCTGAGGTGCCTGACATCCAGGCATTCTTTTACACATCGGTCCCTCCCTAGTCTCTATGCCCAGTGCAACTCGTCCCAAATCTTCCTTCTTTCCCTCCCGCCTGTCCCGTCAGTCCCAACCCCAAGCATCGCTGAGTCTTTCTAATCTTCCTTTTCTACAGACCCATCTGACATCTCCCCTCCTCGCCAGGCCGAGCTGGGTCCCAATTCTTCCTCAGCCTCCGCTCCTCCACCCTATAATCCTTTTATCACCTCCCCTCCTCACACCCGGTCCAGCTTACAGTTCCATTCCATGACTAGCCCTCCCCCAACTGCCCAGCAATTTCCTCTTAAAAAGGTGGCTGAAGCTAAAGGCATAGTCAAGGTTAATGCTCCTTTTTCTTTATCTGACCTCTCCCAAATCAGATAGTGTTTAGGCTCTTTTTCATCAAATTTAAAAACACAGCCCAGTTCATGGCTCATTTGGCAGCAACCCTGAGACGCTTTACAGCCCTAGACCCTAAGTCAAAAGGCCGTCTTATTCTCAATATACATTTTATTACCAAATCTGCTCCCAACATTAAATAAAGCTCCAAAAATTAAATTCTGTCCCTCAAACCCCACAACAAGACTTAATTAACCTCGCCTTCAAGGTGTACAGTAATAGAGTAGAGGCAGCCAAATAGCAACATATTTCTGAGTTGCAATTCCTTGCCTCCACTCCAGTATCCAGATGAGACAAACCCCAGCCACATCTCCAGCACACGAGAACTCCAAACGCCTGAACCGCAGCTGCCAGGGGTTCCTCCAGAACCTCTTCCCCCAGGAGCTTGCTACAAGTACTGGAAATCTGGCCACTGGGCCAAGGAATGTCCACAGCCTGGGATTCCTCCTAAGCCGCATCCCATCTGTGCGGGACCCCACTGAAAATCGGACTGTTCAACTCACCTGGCAGCCACTCCCAGAGCAGCTAGAACTCTGGCCCAAGGCTCTCTGACTCCTTCCCAGATCTTCTCGGCTTAGCAGCTGAAGACTGACACTGCCCGATCCCGATCGCCTCAGAAGCCTACAGGACCATCACAGTCTAGGTAACTCTCACAGTGGAAGGTAAGCCCGTCCCCTTCTTAATCAATATGGAGGCTACCCACTCCACATTACCTTCTTTTCAAGGGCCTGTTTCCCTTGCCTCCATAACTGTTGTAGGTATTGACAGCTAGGCTTCTAAACCTCTTAAAACTCCCCAACTCTGGTGCCAACTTAGACAATACTCTTTCAAGCACTCCTTTTCAGTTATCCCCACCTGCCCAGTTCCCTTATTAGGCTGAGACACTTTAACTAAATTATCTGCTTCCCTGACTGTTCCTGGACTACAGCTATATCTCATTGCTGCCATTCTTCCCAATCCAAAGCCTCCTTTGCTTCCTCCTCTTGCATCCCCCCACCTTAACCCACAAGTATAGGATACCTCTACTCCCTCCTTGGTGACCGATCATGCACCCCTTACCATCTCATTAAAACCTAATCACCCTTACCCCACTCAACGCCAATATCCCATTCCGCAGCACGCTTTAAAAGGATTAAAGCCTGCTACAGCATGGCCTTTTAAAGCCTATAAACTCCCCTTACAATTCTCCCATTTTACCTGTCCTAAAACCAGACAAGGCTTACACATTAGTTCAGGATCTGCGCCTTATCAACCAAATTGTTTTGCCTATCCACCCCGTAGTGCCAAACCCATATACTCTCCTATCCTCAATACCTGCCTCTACAACCCATTATTCTGTTCTGGATCTCAAACGTGCTTTCTTTACTATTCCTTTGCACCCTTCATCCCAGCCTCTCTTCGCTTTCACTTGGACTGACCCTGACACCGATCAAGCTCAGCAAATTACCTGGGCTGTACTGCCGCAAAGCTT